>NC_000001.11:240881091-241032606 GCF_000001405.40 Homo sapiens
TTATTCTTATTTTCATGCTAAAGAAAAAGATAATTATGTTCTTTAAAAACAGCATTTTCATGGAATATGATGCAGCCATAAAAAAGGATGAGTTCATGTCCTTTGTAGGGACATGGATGAAGCTGGAAATCATCATTCTGAGCAAACTATCGCAAGGTCAGAAAACCAAACACAGCATGTTCTCACTCATAGGTGGGAATTGAACAATGAGAACACTTGGACACAGGGAGGGGAACATCACACACGGGGGGCCTGTCGTGGGGTGGGGGGCTAGGGGAAGGATAGTATTAGGAGAAATACCTAATGTAAATGACGAGTTAATGGGTGCAGCAAACCAACATGGCACATGTATACATATGAAACAAACCTGCACGTTGTGCACATGTACCCTAGAACTTAAAGTATAATAATAAAAAAAAGCAGGGTTTTCAAAATAATTCTTCAAATAAAGGTATTTTAAATTTACTGTTAGTAGAGTACTTTAAAATCTAGCATTAATTTAAAGATTTAGACATTAGCAATGCACTTATAAGAATGAAAAGTTAAAGAATAATTTGGAGAATTTTATTTTTAAAATTTATGACTCAACAGCAACTGAAACATTTATTAAGTGCAAGGGAAATTGAATCTTAATAAAAACAACTAGCAATAATATTATAAAATTTGTTTTTAATTATTTAATTTTCTGATACATAGTAATAAAGACTGTGTTGTCATAAAGTAAGAGTAAGAGTTAACTACTATATGGGATCATATACCTTGATAAAAGAAGATTTACTAGGATAAGAAAGGTGTACTATGAACGTTGAATACTGGACTATAAAAATCTTTTTTTTTTTTTGAGAGAGAGTCTTGCTCTGTCACCCAGGCTGGAGTGTCATAGTGGCATCTCAGCTCACTGTTATCTCCACCTCCCTGGTTCAAGCTATTCTCCAGCCTCAGCCTCCCGAGTAGCTGGAATTACAGGCATGCATAGCCAGGCCCAGCTAACTTTTGTGTTTTTAGTAGAGATAGGGTTTCACCATGTTGGCCAGGCCGGTCTTGAACCCCTGAGCACAAGTGATCCACCCGCCTTGGCCTCCCAAACTGCTGGGATTACAAGCATGAGCCACCGTGCCCGGCCTGTGCAAATCTTTAAATACCCTCCTGGGAGGTGGTGTCCTTAAGGAGAAAGAATTCCTTTAGGACAGTTCTGGAATAATGGCCAGGAACTATTAATAGGAAAAGAATTAGACCTGTGAATTTCTGTTTCTCCCAAAGGAAAGGGAAATGTCATTGAACGATTCTACCATGAGCCTACTTACAATTCTGCTCTATCATAAGGCGGTTACATGTATTATCCAGAGCCTTAAATTAACAATCCAAGGAAGAAGCTACTGTCCTGTTTATTTAATTGATGGTAATGATGAAACCCAGAGAGCTCAAGTCCTCTCTCGGGGCCACATAGTATGTCGGCAAGTCGGGGGTTCTTGGGTCTCAGTGATCACAAAACAGATACGACACACAAAACGTGAAGGCAGTGGCAATGAAGGAGACAATTCCACTCTGGCTCTCAGTGCTGAAAAGGGAGAAATATGCTTCTGTTCTTTGAAGTGTCCATTTTTCTTGGGGTCCATTTTTTTTCATTTCTGAGAATATGGCTTCTCCTTTAAGAACTGTTATTGTCATTCTAAAGGTTTACTGATTGAATTCAGCTCCCTCTGCATTCATCCCTAAACTACATTACAGATTGTATGTTACCCTTACTCTCACTGCGGAAATTGCTGATGAAACAAAATAGAGCCATTTAATTTACCCTTTCGTTTTAAATATAACAATGTCACCGGTGTCTGATGTTCCCCTTCCTGTGTCCATGTGCTCTCATTGTTCAATTCCCACCTATGAGTGAGAACATGTGGTGTTTGGTTTTTTGTCCTTGCAACAGTTTGCTGAGAATGATGGTTTCCAGTTTCATCCATGTCCCTACAAAGGACATGAACTCATCATTTTTTATGGCTGCATAGTATTCCATGGTGTGTATGTGCCACATTTTCTTAATCCAGTCTATCGTTGTTGGACATTTGGGTTGGTTCCAAGTCTTTGCTGTTGTGGGGTGGGGGGATGGGGGAGGGATAGCATTAGGAGATAAACCTACTGCTAAATGACGAGTTAATGGGTGCAGCACACCAACATGGCACATGTATACATATGTAACAAACCTGTACGTTGTGCACATGTACCCTAAAACTTAAAGTATAATAATAATAAAAATTTTTTAAAAAAACAAAAAACAATGTCACTATAACAAATCTGAAAGGTGTGGCTGCTTTTCTCACGTTCATGCGTTTTGGCAACTTGTAGTTCCTTAAGGTGTGACGGATACTCTCTTCTTCCCAAATGTACTTTCTTCATCTCCTTTAAACCTCACATTAAATCCTCATTATTTGCTGATTCCCTGCCTGGAAATTGCCTACTTACTAAAATTTGTTTGTAGCCCTCAAATCAATAACTCATGGAGCTTTCACGGTTATTCATGGCCATTCACAGAGTGGCAAATTCTCAAGTCACCTAACAGTCACATGACCAGCTGATGTCAACCAAGACAATGCTCGGCCTCCTGTTCCAGCTCTCATACTGTAAACAAACATCCTTTTTGTGGGACATGTGGTGCCACATTTTTTGCATTTATGCTTTTGGTTGACAATCTTGCTATTTAAAATGGCCCCTGGGCATGGTGGCTCATGCCTATAATCCCAGCACTTTGGGAGGCTGAGGCGGGTGGATCACCTGAGGTCAGGAGTTCAAGACCAGCCTGGCCAACATGGTGAAACCCCGTCTCTACTAAAAATACAAAAATTAGCCAGGCGTGGTGGCACACGTCTATAATCCCAGCTACTCGGGAGGCTGAGGCAGGAGAATCGCTCGAACCTGGGAGGCAGAGGTTGTAGTGAGCTGAGATCACGCCATTGCACTCCAGCCTGGGCGACAAGAGCAAAAACTCCATCTCAAAAAAAAAAAAAAAAAAAAAAAAAAAGGCCCCAAGAGTAGTATTGAAGTGCTGTCTAGTGTTTCTCAATCAGGGAAGGCTGTGGCGTGCCTTACGGAAAAATTAACGTGTTAGATAAGCTTCATTCAGGCATGAGTTATAGTGCTGTTGCCTGTGAGCTCAGTATGAATTAAAAATATACATTAAATAAGATGTCTTTAAACAGAAACACATATGCATGAAGATTGTGGGTTGATCCATTGACAAAAAAATGTGACCAGGGGCTTGCAGGAAACTTATCCTGTATTTCCCCCAGGATCAATGATTCAGTATCCCCTAATTCAGCGTTCAAGGTAACTTTATAAAACATTGCTACTCTGGATAAGAAGAATCACACATGTGTTTGTGTCTTATTCCCTCTGCTGGAGAACACTGATGAATGTTTTTGTATACTGCAGGGCTACAGTAACCAAAACAGCATGGTATTGGTACAAAAACAGGCACATAGAGCAATGGAACAGAATAGAGAGCCCAGAAATGAGGGAACATTCCTGCAACCATTTGATCTTCCACAAAGCTGACAAAAACAAGCAATGGGGAAAAGATTCCCTATTCAATAAATGGTGCGGGATAACTGGCTAGCCATATGCAGAAGATTGAAGCTAGATCCCTTCTTTACACCATATACAAAATTCAACTTAAGATGGATTAAATACTTAAATGTCAAACCCAAAACTATAAACTCTGGAAGATGACCTAGGCAATACCATCCTGGACACAGGAACGGGCAAAGATTTTATGACAAAGACACCAAAAGCAACTGCAACAAAAGCGAAAATTGACAAATAGTATCTAATTAAACTTAAGAGCTTCTGCACAGCAGAAGAAATTACCAACAGAGTAAAGAGACAACCTATAGAATAGGAGAAAATATTTGCAAACTATGCATCTGACAAAGGTCTACTATCCAGCATCTATAAGGAACTTAAATTTACAAGAGCAAAACAAACAACTGCATTAAAAGTGGGCAAAGGACATGAACAGACACTTTTCCAAACAAGACATGTATGTGGCCAACAATCACATGATAAAAAGGTTCAATGTCACTGATCATTAGAGAAATGCAAATCAAAACCACAATGACATACCATCTCACACCATTCAGAATGGCTATTACTAAAAAGTCAAAAAACAACAGATGCTGGCGAGGTTGCAGAGAAAAGAGAACACTTGCACACTCTTGGTGGGAGTGTAAATTGTTCAACCATTGTGGAAAGCAGTATGGCAACTTCTCAAAGAGCTAAAAACAGAACTACCATTGGACCCAGCAATCCCATTACTGGGACTATACTGAGAGGAACAGAAATCATTCTCCCATAAAGACACATGCCAATGTTCACTGTAGCACTATTCACAATAGCAAAGACATGGAATCAGCCTAAATACACATCAAGGACAGATTGGATAAAGAAAATGTGGTGCAGCTACATCATGGGATACGATGCAGCCATGAG
Source organism: Homo sapiens (assembly GCF_000001405.40). Taxonomy (NCBI): domain Eukaryota; kingdom Metazoa; phylum Chordata; class Mammalia; order Primates; family Hominidae; genus Homo; species Homo sapiens. Next base: position 240,885,571 of record NC_000001.11, read on the forward strand.
AAAGAATGAGATCATGTCTTTTGAGGGAACATGGATGGAGCTGGAGGCCATTATCCTTAGTAAACTCATGCAGGAACAGAAAACCAAATGCCACATGTTCTCACTTATAAGTGGGAGCTAAATGATGAGAACTCATGGACACGAAGAGGGGAGCAACAGACACTGGGATCTACTTGAGAGTGGAGGGTGGGAGGAGGAAGAGGAGCAGAAAAACATTAAGTATTGGGTACCAGGCTTAATACCTGGGTAATGAAATAATCTGTACACCAAACCCCTGTGACACGAGTTTATCTGTATAACAAACCTGCGCACATACTCCCAAACCTAAGATAAAAGTTTTAAAACAGGACGTTTTCTGTAACAATAACACATACAAAACTCTCATATTCTATACCTCCTAACTTCATTCTTTCATAGGTAACATTATTTGCTCTTTTGCTTATCGTATTATTTTTAAACCAATGCAATATCTATTTTAAAAAATGTAATAAAGTAAGAAATACCATACTTTAACTGTTATGATAATTATAATTCTGAGCCACTGTTCCAAGCAAAATGGTTAAAATATTTCCATGTAAATGTTCATGTAATACTTTCATGTAAATCTCCCATAATACTAGGTCAAGGGTTCTTAATTTCTCTGTCTCTTATTTAAACATATCAACCAAAGTGACAGGTTCTGAGAGTTTGCACCTTTTTAAAGTACCACAATAATCCATCCAGTGGAACATGACACCCAATGGATAAGCCCAGAGGAGCCGTGTGACTTTCAAAGGAAAGTTCTGTCATTCAAATCTGTGCTCATTGAATCTGGACTAAAAGAATCATGGTTGAATTATTCGTTGAATATTTTGGTAAATGAGACACTAAAATAACTGTATCCAACCCTGTGGCATCTTGCTTAATAAAATAACTGTCTATAAAAATGTAAACCCCAAATGATCTTCAAACACATATTTCATTGAATATCTGAACCTGTTTCCACTTGATTCCTTCCCATTCCCACTCCTCACCGCTCTCTCCCTTTCTCTTTCTTTTTCTTCTTTCTCAAATAAAAAGAGAGAGACATAAGCAGAGTGTTAAAAATAAAGGATGATCTAACCAATACGAGACTGAGAGTCCCAAACTGCTGCTAAATTACTCAGGACATTAGAGTCAGACTATGCCTAGAATAGAAAAAGGGCAATTTTCAATCTTTTTCTCCCCAAAAGGCCCAGCAACATGGGGAAGAAAATAGTGATCATTTGCTTAATTGTCTGATCCTCTGATCACTAATATGGAAAGACACATTCACAGATATTCTAGAACATGCCATGTGGTATAATAGAAGGAACAATGGCCCATGAGTTTGAAGACCTTGGGTTCTGGCCTTCCTGTTAACTATGATATTGGATGAGTCTCTAGACCATCCTGATTTGCTCACCTGTGTAATGAGAATAAAGATACTTGGTGTGTCTATTCCATAGGACTGAGGTAAGAATTCTTGGAGATGATGTGTTGGAGAGTTCTGTGTTAACTACAGACGGAAAGTAATGTATGGAATTACTAGATATATTGTACTTTCAGGTCACTGCATAAGTTTCTACTCAAAAGAAAATTATAGCAAGTTCTTTTATAAATGAAATATCCTTTTGAAGATCATTTTGAGTATATAGGTTTTTTTTTTTTTTTTTTTTGAGATGGAGTCTTGCTCTTTTGCCCAGGCCGGAGTGCAGTGGCGCGATCTTGGCTCACTGCAAGCTCTGCCTCCTGGGTTCACGCCATTCTCCTGCCTCAGCCTCCCGAGTAGCTGGGACTGCAGGCCCCTGCCACCACGCCCGGCTCATTTTTTGTATTTTTAGTAGAGATGGGGTTTCACCGTGTTAGCCAGGATGGTCTCAATCTCCTGACTTCGTGATCTGCCCGCCTCGGCCTCCCAAAGTCCTGGGATTACAGGCGTGAGAGTATATAGTTTTATATAGAGTTCTTTTTTAAGTGAGATACCACAGGGTTGGACCTAGAGTTATCTTAGTGTCTCATTTGACAAGTGTCTCTTCCTTGTAGAACTGCAATGAATTTGCACTGCCAAGATTTGTAAACAATATCGATTAATTACATGTGTCTGTTGCATCTTGAATATACTGCCAATGATTTTTAAATATTTTTTTAAATTATCTCAAAATATATTTCAATTTAAAACATGTAACTAGTTTTATTAAGTGTTTAATGGATACCTCAGTGTCATTAAACTATATTTTTAATTTTCTATTTAATTATTAATTCTTTCTGTTCCCTCATTCCTTTTATTTGTGTTATCACTTATCTTGCTACCCAAACGTTGCATACAATTAATCAGCTGATCACTATTTTCTATCAGTAGCTTCCCCATGTTGCTGGGCCACTTGGGGATACAAAAGATTGAAAACTACTCTTTTTCTATTCACATATTTATTCAACAAACATGCACTGGGTGCCTACTATATTGGTGATGGGATTGGGAGTATAGACAAAGCTTCTATCCTCAATGAGGTTACATTATAGAGAAATACTAAGCAAAAAATGTCTTGGACAGGGCAGAAAAGACAGCACTGCAGTTGCACCCGCACAGGTGATGTCCCTCAAGAACGCAGTTCCTGGAGCTGGGACCACGTTAATTCTTCTGTCTACCTGCAGAGGGCGCCATTGCACCAGGTACGCTTTCAGTCTCACCTGGTAAAACTAGAAGATGGCAGCTTTACAAAGAATTTCAAGAATCCTAAAACAGTAAAGGGGTCTTATGTGGGCTAATTGCATGAGGTGCTGAACTTAAGTATCTTCAGTTGCTGGAGAAAAGCAGAAATTCTGCGTTTAAGGGGAGAAAATGGAGGAAAAGTGAGACAGGTGTGTGTGGATACTGGATGTATTCATTTGTTTCACCTTGTGCCCGGCTTTTCCTAAGGCCTGGAGACCCGGCGATGAACGCAGTTGGCTATCATTGCTCTCAGAGGGCTTACTTTGTACTGGTCTGTGGTGTGACAATGTAGAATAATGTGAATAAAGTAATAACAATGTCCAAAATTTATTGAATGCTTTCCATGAGCCAAGAACTATTCAAGAATTTCACATACATTATCTTGTTTAAACTGCACAGCCGCGCGTTGAGAAGAGGTGCTATCAACTTTCCCATTTTGCTGATGAGGCAATTTAGGCTGGATGAGAGGACGAGACTGAGTACTACTTTCTTGGTGGAGGCGACAGTCAAAGCCAGGCATTAGACCGGAATCGACTCAGTTAACCACTAGGCTGTGTGTGACAGCTGGAGGTTAGGGAACGCGGAGGCAGAGAGAGGGAAGCAGCGGGTGCAAAGGGCAGAGCTACTTCGGATTTTATGACGGTCAAAGGCCTCAATGAAGAAAGAGGTAACATTTGTTTTTGTTTTGTTTTTGAGACGGAGTCCCACTCTATTGCCCAGGCTGTAGTGCAGTGGTGCGATCGCGGCTCACTGCAACCTCCACCTCCCGGGTTCAAGCGATTCTCCTTGCCTCAGCGTCCCAAGCAGCTGGGACTACAGGCGCCCGCCACCACGCCCGGGTAATTTTTGTATTTTTGGTAGAGATGGGGTTTCACCACGTCGGCCAGGCTGGTCTTGAACTCCTGACCTCAGGTGATCTGCCCGCCTTGGCCTCCCAAAGTGCTGGGATTACAGACGTGAGCCACTGCACCTGGCGAGAGGTAACTTTTGAATTGAAATCTAAATTGTAAGAGGGAATCAACTCCAGGAATATCTAGAGGCAGAGAGCACCATCGGTACAGCAAGGGGGACTGCCCTGAGCAGAAAATAAGCAGGGAACGTTTCAGAAAAAGTCCAGGAATGGGACACCAGCAGCAGGGTGGCTAGAGCTGGAGGGAAGGGAGAGGTTATGTCAGGGCTGAGCCGGGAGCCTACGGAGCCCTGGCTAGGGGCTCAGGTTCGCTATCGCAATGGAAACTCCTGGGAGCTGTGAGAGCAGTGATATGATGGGATTTACACGTAATTATTTCTCCGCTTCTAGGAGGCGACTGGATGGTAAAAGCAAGAGCAGGTAGCAGACTTTTAAATAACAATAATAATCGTGGTAATGATACAATAGGAAAACAACACAGCATTGGTGTTATCTTGATCGGTGAAATACATTAGTTTTTTGTTGTTGTTCCAAATCAGCCCACTTGGTTCTGTTACTTATCTAACTAGAGATCAGTCTGATATGACGCATGGTGATTTTGAAATACCAGCACAGAACATCCCTGAGATGACGGTGATCTGAAAAGAGCCCTGGCCCTGTTCTTGTAGTGTCCCCTCCTCCATCGCATGCGCACACTAGAGGCTGATGGTGGTTCGCGGATGCTACCAAGAAGGTACAAAAAGCTGATTTTACAGGGATTTGTCTGACCCGTGTACAATTATCTCTCAGAGTTTCCACCTTTTGTTTCTTCACTCCTCCTATTTGCCAAAACAGTCACTGGTTTGCAGAGACTTCCCTCCCCACACTCTGCCCTCCCGTACTCAGTCCTGCAAAACGGAGCTTGTGTCAAATGAAACAATCTCCGTTTCCTGGTGGACATACTTCCTTGATCTCTGGGGCTTCTGCCCTTCTTTTTTTTTTGAGACGGAGTCTCGCTCTGTCACCAGGCTGGAGGGCAGTGGCGCAATCTCGGCTCACTGCAACCTCTGCCTTCTGGGTTCAAGTGATTCTCCTGCCTCAGCCTCCTGAGTAGCTGGGCCTACAGGCGTGCGCCACCACACCCAGCTAATTTTTGTGTTTTTAGTAGAGATGGGGTTTCACTATGTTGGCCCAAATGGTCTCGATCTCTTGACCTTGTGATCCGCCCACCTTGGCCTCCTAAAGTGCTGGGATTACAGGGGTGAGCCACCATACCCAGCCTTGCCTCCTTTTTAGAAGAAGATTATGATAATACTAACAATAGCTTGAAGATAATAATGAGAATAATGAAAATAAGTATTGCTTAAAGTTAAAAATAATGAAAATAAATAATGCTTGAAGAGAATGATAATGAAAATAGTAACAGCAACAATAATAATAATAGTTAACATTTCACTAGCATTTGCCATGTGCCAGGCACTGTGATTGTGCTTTATAGATTAATTATTTCTCCAAACAACCCTGTGCAGTGGGTGTATTATTGTTACTTCTATTTTTCAGAAAAGGAAACTGAGGCACAGAGAGTTTACAGGATTTGTTCTTGTTGCACAGCTAATAAATGGCTGCATTGGAATTTGAACCCAGTTGTCTGGGAAGAGCCATTCTAATTTGGAGAAATATTTAGTACAATCTCTGATCAAGGACAAATCCTAAAATGTAGCTTGGAGAGCAGTTTAATATCCAATGGCAAGAACCGCCATTCATTTTGCACCAACCTAATGCATACTCCTGCTGAAAAAAAGAGGCCTACGATATTCTTGAGAGTGCAAGGAAAGGATAGTGACATCACCTGATCAATGCAGAAAGAAAGGATTATAGTGAGACAAAACTTTGCAAGACTCTTAAGAAACAGTGGCTTTAACTTCATCAAATTTGCTACCTGCTCTTAGTTGAGTAACAAGTAAGTCATCTGTCCTCTCTGAGCCAGATTCCTGAAAAACAGGTAATTTAATTATTTTTTTCCAGCATCACTGGGGGGGTGGTTATGAAAATTGAAGGAAATTATCAATGTAAAAGCTTTCTGAAAGCTTGTAACATATTATGCAAATGTAAGATTAACTATATCTGCAATGCAACTGATTATCAGTTCTTTAGTGAAGTGTAATGATAATTCTAAGTGTTACTTCAGATTCAAATGAACATATAATTTTAGAAATAAACTAGAATTTGGCCTCACGACCTTGGCCATAACTTTCTTTTTTATAATAACCAACCATATATTTATATTCAGAATCTCTCTATAATGCATCTATTTCTTCAAGCTATATTTAAAATATATTAAGTAAGAAATTAAAATGAAGTCATTTTTTTCAAACGTACAATGTAATTTTATATTAAATTTTAAAGCTAAATGCATTCATTCAGTGATTAATTTGTTTAATGTGCCAGGCAATATTCCAGGCACTAAGATAGAGATATATAATTCAGACCAACATTCTTAGTCTCCTAATTCCTTGTGTTAAATGGAGGAAACAAATAAGTAGGTAAACAATAATTAATTTTAATATTTTGCTATACATTTCACAGGTAAGTGGATAACCCCCATGACTTTGCAATTCAAATTTAGTGTGTCAGACACTTCCATATATGTTATCTCCTGTGAAGTTCAGGGTAGCTGTGTGAGTTAAAAGAACCACACATTTAATTTGTTGCTTTCTTATTAGATGGCTCAGAATGGAAAAGGGTTGGCGAAAGTTTTCAGAGCTAGAAGTGACAGAGCCAGGGCTGGAATAGAGGCTTTAGGGCAAGAAGTTCTGAGAAGACCCCAGAGACTCTGAGAGGACGGGAGGATCTTATCATCACTGAGCAAGATACTGCCCCAGGGGTGGTAGTTTATGGTTTTTATTCCTCACACTGCTTCCTTATTTAGTGAGCATGTAAGTTAATTAAATCAGAGTATGTATAATGCATCATATAACTCTATGCTAATGGTTCCCTTAGTATATCTTATGTTTCTCTTATGTACTTTGCTTGCATTCTCTTCTGAGGCCCCTAGTAATGACGTGTCCTTTTAGAATATGAAATTAAAACCAAGTATTCTAAATTGCTTTCATCATCTGGAAATTTTGATGTATTTTTGACATCTTACAATTATGTCCCTTAAAATTTCTCTAGAGGTTCTAGAACAAGGGCTATTTTTTTGTATGCTCACTTGACTGCAATTTCAAGCTATGGAAATAAGTGATCAATATTCTCCCAAGCCAAAAGCCCCGTAGGACAACCATAAAGCTCCTCAGTGAAATTCAGAAATGGTCATCTAAAACGTTGCTTTTCACAGCCCTACATTTTTCTTTCTTACTGCTGTTAAGTTGAGCCTAAAGCTGTCTTCTTACATATTTTAAGTTGGGCCTAGGGGTTTCTCCATACATAATAAACTGGAACCTAACTGTATGTGTAAACAACCTACTCTTGTACCAATCACTGAGTTTTGGTCAACAAAAGGCAGCTCACTGTTGAAACTGTGTCAAATAAGGAAAATGTCAAGCTGAACCAATCTGGCTGTTTCTTTTCCTCACTTCTATTTTCCATGAGCCGTGTTCTGTTTTCTGTCCATAAATCTTTTTCAACCACAGTCTCTCTGAACCTATTCTGATTTGGGGCTGCCTGATTTGGAAATCATTCTTTGCTCAATTAAACTCTGTTGAACTATTTCTCTAAGATTTTTCTTTTAACTATCAATCTGAGTATAGATACTTAGTGTCTTTAGAGCTAAATGTGTTGCAACTAGATCACATAATAAATTTCAAGAATCAAGAACACTTATTTATTCATTCACTCAATACATCTTTTTGAATATCTAGTTAAGTGATAAATACTGTCCTAGGAACTAGGAACGCTAAGATAAATAAGATGTAGTTCTTGAACTCCCAAGAGGATCAATCCAGTGAAATAGACAGCTGACTGACCCAGTCCTCATGACCACCATCTACTGTGGGGCCAGTGAAAATCGAAGAAGGCTTTCCTAAACTGGCAATACGGTTGTTGAGTCTTAAAGGACCTAGAGTGTTAACATAGCCATAAACTTTCTACGTGACTCAGTTTTTCTTTGATTAACTTATCCATTGCATTATTAAGATAAATCCATTAATAATGAATAGTTGCAGTAAAGACATCTTTAAGAAAACGATTTTGCTTTTAAGTAAAGCAGCAGGTGAGTTTTTATATGTAAGAGCTCGTCAGGAGTTAATTTTCTTTCTCTTCCCTGATTCATTTAGCTTATGTTAAACCAGGCATATTTCTCCCATAGTATTTAAAAACAAATATTTAACCACATTTCTCTGAAAATTATTTAGGAATAGGTCTTAATATCCTTCTATTTGAAATGAGAGCCTTCCCTTATTAGAAAAATCTTCATGATGCTTAGAAAGACTGCATTAAAAAAAAACAAAACTCCAAAACTTGAGAATATATAGTCCTTTAAATCTGCAGTTCCACTGAACAACCTAAAAAGTTCTGTGAATACCCACAGAGGAAAAGGAAACCCAGTTCTATTTTGCAACTTCCATTGCAATTTCTTCCTTGAAATTTTTAATTATTTTGAGTGAGATTAAAAGTTACTAAGCATATGAGATTGAAGAGTTTTTCATAACTGATATATTATTGTTATGTGTCATTTTAATTCCACTTTGACTTGAACTTCAAAATTAATCATTGTAAAACAATCAGTGCTTATTTGGGCATTGATCAATTTCTTTTATCCAAACTGCTTCTCGAATCTCATTCCTTTTTTCTTGGTTTAATTTCCTGCTTATAGAAGGCTATTTTTAGTAGATCTCTTAGTGATGGTCTGTGAATGGAAAACTCTTTCAATATTGGTTGTCAAATTTAAATAATATCATATCTGGCTATACAAATATAGGTTACCTGATATTTTCTCTCAGTGCCTTGAAACTATTCTTCATTTCTGACCTTCATGAGTGCTTATACAATTTTGGAGATAGGCTACGTATTTATTCTTTTGCTGCTTTAAAATCCTCCTTTATAAAAGTAAAGTCTCTTTTTCCTTGAGTTTCTTCAAGTTTGGGGAGGTGCATCTATTGGCAGACTTTACATTTTCACCAACTGTAACTAGCGCTCAGTGTCTTTCAAAATTTGAGGATTTATGTCCTTGTTCAGTTCTAAAAACTACCTCAACTATGATTTCAGTAAATACTGCTTGTTTCTTGTGCTCTCCTACTGAAACCCCTCTCATGTGTTCTCTTCTGGGTCTAACATCCTTTACTCTATGTGTTTTAACCTCTCTTCCATATTTTCCATCTCCTTATGCAACTGTGCAGCATTCTAGATCTTTCTTCCAATTTACTTGTGCACTGAGGTTTTAATTATAACGACCATATTTATTTGTATAATATTTGTATTATTACAAAGCCTCTTTGGTTGTTTATCAAATCTTCCTGGAATTTTTCCTGATTTTTTTTTCTAATATTATCTAGCTCTCATATCATTTTTTGCGGGTAATTTTATATAATTTTAATGGTCTAAAAATATTATTTAGATTATTCTAATATAAATTTCTTGTCAATCTGTTTACTTTTCTTTATGATACAGTGTTTTCTTGGGTGGTTTCTCATTTTCGTTGCTAGCTCACCTTCAGAAGAATAGGTTTTCTTATGGGAATTCCATGTGCAATGGACTAGGAAACAATATTCTATAGCAATTTTAGCTTTACTTTTTCCAGGTGATATAGTTTGGATATTTGTCCCCACCCAAATTTCATGTTGAATTGTAATCCCCAATGCCAGTGATGGGGCCTGGTGGGAGGTGTTTGGACCATGAGGATGGAACAGTCCGTCATGGCTTGGGGCTGTCCCATGATAGTGAGTTCTCGTGAGATCTGGTCATCTAAAAGTGTGTGGCCCTTCCCCCTCACTCTCTCCCTCTTGCTCCTGCACTATGTGACATGCTTGTTCTCTTTTCACCTTCCACCATGATTGAAAGCTCCCTGAGGCTTCACCAGAAGCCAAGAAGATGCCAGCACGATGCTTCCTGAACAGCCTGCAGAACCATGAGCCAATTAAACCTCTTTTTTCTTTCTTTTTCTTTCTTTCTTTCTTTCTTTTTTCTTTCTTTTTAGTTATACTTTAAGTTCTAGGGTACAGGTGCACAATGTGCAGGTTTGTTACATACATATACATGTGCCATGTTGGTGTGCTGCACCCATTAACGTGTCATTTACATTAGGTATATCTCCTAATGCTATCCCTCCCCCCTCCTCCACCCCATGACAGGCCCCGGTGTGTGATGTTCCCCATCCTGTGTCCATGTGTTCTCATTGTTCAATTCCCACCTATGAGTGAGAACATGCGGTGCTTGGTTTTCTGTCCTTGCCATAGTTTGCTCAGAATGATGGTTACCAGCTTCATCCATGTCCCTACAAAGGACATGAACTCATCCTTTTTTATGGCTGCATAGTATTCCATGGTGTATATGTGCCACATTTTCTTAATCCAGTCTATCATTGATGGACATTTGGCTTGGTTCCAAGTCTTTGCTATTGTGAATAGTGCCGCAATAAACGTACATGTGCATGTGTCTTTATAGCAGCATGATTTATAATCCTTTAGGTATATACCCAGTAATGGGATTGCTGGGTCAAATGGTATTTCTAGTTCTAGATCCTTGAGGAATCACTGCGCTGTCTTCCACAATGGTTGACCTAGTTTACAGTCCCACCAACAGTGTAAAAGTGTTTCTATTTCTCCACATCCTCTCCAGCAACTGTTGTTTCCTGACTTCTTAATGATCGCCATTCTAACTGGTATGAGATGGTATGTCATTATGGTTTTGATTTGCATTTCTCTGATGGCCAGTGATGATGAGATTTTTTCATGTGTCTTTTGGCTGCATAAATGTCTTCTTTTGAGAAGTGTCTGTTCATATCCTTTGCCCACTTTTTGATGGGGTTGATTTTTTCTTGTAAGTTTGTTTAAGTTCTTCATAGATTCTGGATATTAGCCCTTTGTCAGATGGGTAGATTGTAAACATTTTCTCCCATTCTGTAGGTTGCCTGTTCACTCTGATGGTAGTTTCTTTTGCTGTGCAGAAGCTCTTTAGTTTAATTAGATCCCATTTGTCAATTTTGTCTTTTGTTGCCATTGCTTTTGGTGTTTTAGACATGAAGTCCTCGCCCACGCCTATGTCCTGAATGGTATTGCCCAGGATTACTTTTAGGGTTTGTATGGTTTTAGGTCTAACATTTAAGTCTTTAATCCATCTTGAAATAATTTTTGTATAAGGTGTAAGGAAGGGATCCAGTTTCAGCTTTCTACCTATGGCTAGCCAGTTTTCCCAGCACCATTTATTAAATAGGGAATCCTTTCCCCATTTCTTGTTTTTGTCAGGTTTGTCAAAGATCAGATGGTTGTAGATGTGTGGTATTATTTCTGAGGGCTCCGTTCTGTTCCACTGGTCTATATCTCTGTTTTGGTACCAGTACCATGCGGTTTGGTTACTGCAGCCTTGTAGTATAGTTTGAAGTCAGGTTAGCGTGATGCCTCCAGCTTTGTTCTTTTGGCTTAGGATTGTTTTGGCAATGTGGGCTCTTTTTTGGTTCCATATGAACTTTAAAGTAGTTTTTTCCAGTTCTGTGAAGAAAGTCATTGGCAGCTTGATGGGGATAGCATTGCATCTATAAATTACCTTGGGCACTATGGCCATTTTCATGATATTGATTCTTCCTATCCATGAGCATGGAATGTTATTCCATTTGTTTGTGTCTTCTTTTATTTCGTTGAGCAGTGGTTTGTAGTTCTCCTTGAAGAGGTCCTTCACATCCCTTGTAAGTTGGACTCCTAGGTATTTTATTCTCTTTGAAGCAATTGTGAATGGGAGTTCACTCATGATTTGGCTGTTTGTCTGTTATTGGTGTACAGGAATGCTTGTGATTTTTGTACATTGATTTTATATCCTGAGACTTTGCTCAATTTGCTTATCAGCTTAAGGAGATTTTGTGCTGAGATGATGGGGTTTTCTAAATAATACAATCATGTCATCTGCAAATAGGGACAATTTGACTTCCTCTTTTCCTAATTGAATATCCTTTATTTCTTTCTCCTGCCTGAGTGCCCTAGCCAGAACTTCCAACACTATGTTGAATAGGAATGGTGAGAGAGGGCATCCCTGTCTTGTGCCAGTTTTCAAAGGGAATGCTTCCAGTTTTTGCCCATTCAGTATGATATTGGCTGTGGGTCTGTCATAAATAGCTCTTATTATTTTGAGATACATCCCATCAATACCTAGTTTATTGAGAATTTTTAGCATGAAGTGCCGCTGAATTTTGTCAAAGGCCTTTTCTGCATCTATTGAGATAATCATGTGGTTTTTGTCTTTGTTTCTGTTTATATGATGGATTACTTTTATTGATTTGCTTATGTTGAACCAGCCTTGCATCCCAGGGATAAAGCCAACTTGACCATGGTGGATAAGCTTTTTGATGTGCTGCTGGATTCGGTTTGCCCGTATTTTATTGAGGATTTTTGCATCAATGTTCATCAGGGATATTGGTCTAAAATTCTCTTTTTTTGTTGAGTTTCTGCCAGGCTTTGGTATCAGGATGACGCTGGCCTCATAAAATGAGTTAGGGAGGATTCCTTCTTTTTCTATTGATTGGAATAGTTTCACAAGGAATGGTACCAGCTCCTCTTTTTACCTGTGGTAGAATTTGGCTGTGAATCCGTCTGGTACCGGACGTTTTTCGGTTGGTAGGCTATTAATTATTGCCTCAATTTCAAAGCCTGTTATTGGTCTATTCAGGGATTCCACTTCTTCCTGGTTTAGCCTTGGGAGTGTGTATGTGTCCAGAAATTTATCCATTTCTTCTAGATTTTCTAGTTTATTTGCGTAGAGGTGTTTATAGTATTCTCTGATGGTAGTTTGTATTTCTGTGGGATTGGTGGTGATATACCCTTTATCATTTTTTATTGCATCTATTTGATTCTTCTCTCTCTTCTTCTTGATTAGTCTTGCTAGTGGTCTGTCAATTTTGTTGATCTTTTCAAAAAACCAGCTCCTGGATTCATTGATTTTTTGAAGGGTTTTTTGTGTCTCTATTTCCTTCAGTTCTGCTCGGATCTTAGTTATTTCTTGCCTTCTGCAAGCTTTTGAATGTGTTTGCTCTTGCTTCTCTAGTTCTTTTAATTGTGATGTTACGGTGTCAATTTTACATCTTTCCTGCTTTCTCTTGTGGTCATTTAGTGGTATAAATTTCCCTCTACACACTGCTTTAAATGTGTCCCAGAGATTCTGGTATGTTGTGTCTTTGTTCTCATTGGTTTCAAAGAACATCTTTATTTCTGCCTTCATTTTGTTATGTACCCAGTAGTCATTCAGGAGCAGGTTGTTCAGTTTCCATGTAGTTGAGCGCTTTTGAGTGAGTTTCTTAATCCTGACTTCTAGTTTGATTGCACTGTGGTCTGAGAGACAGTTTGTTATAATTTCTGTTCTTTTACATTTGCTGAGGAGTGCTTTACTTCCAACTATGTGGTCAATTTTGGAATAAGTGTGATGTGGTCCTGAGAAGAATGTATATTCTGTTGATTTGGGGTGGAGAATTCCGTAGATGTCTATTAGGTCTGCTTGGTGCAGAGCTGAGTTCAATTCCTGGATATCCTTGTTAACTTTCTGTCTCGTTGATCTGTCTAATGTTGACAGTGGGATGTTAAAATCTCCCATTATTACTGTGTGGGAGTCTAAGTCTCTTTGTAGGTCTCTAAGGACTTGCTTTATGAATCTGGGTGCTCCTGTATTGGGTGCATATATATTTAGGATAGTTAGCTCTTCTTATTGAATTGATCCCTTTACCATTATGTAATGGCCTTCTTTGTCTCTTCTGATCTTTGTTAGTTTAAAATCTGTTTTACCAGAGACTAGGATTGCAATCCTTGCTTTTTTTTGTTTTCCATTTGCTTGGTAGATCTTCCTCCATCCCTTTATTTTGAGCCTATGTGTTGTCTCTGTACATGAGACGGGTCTCCTGAATACAGCACACTGATGGGTCTTGACTCTTTATCCAATTTGCCAGCCTGTGTCTTTTAATTGAAGCATTTAGCCCATTTACATTTAAGGTTAATATTGTTATGTGTGAATTTGATCCTGTCATTATGATGTTCGATGGTTATTTTGCTCATTAGTTGATGTGGTTTCTTCCTAGCATCGATGGTCTTTACAATTTGGCATGTTTTAGCAATGGCTGGTACCAGTTGTTCCTTTCCATGTTTAGTGCTTCCTTCAGGAGCTCTTATAAGGCAGGCCTGGTGGTGACAAAATCTCTCAGCAATTGCTTGTCCGTAAAGGATTTTATTTCTCCTTCACTTAGGAAGCTTAGTTTGGCTGCATATGAAATTCTGGGTTGAAAATTCTTTTCTTTAAGAATGTTGAATGTTGGCCCCTACTCTCTTCTGGCTTGTAGAGTTTCTGCTGAGAGATCAGCTGTTAGTCTGATGGGCTTCCCTTTGTGGGTAACCTGACCTTTCTCTCTGGCTGCCCTTAACATTTTTTTCCTTCATTTCAACTTTGGTGAATCTGACAATTATGTGTCTTAGAGTTGCTCTTCTCGAGGTGTATCTTTGTGGCGTTCTCTGTATTTCCTGAATTTGAATGTTGGCCTGCCTTGCTAGGTAGGTGAAGTTCTCCTGGAAAATATCCTGAAGAGTGTTTTCCAACTTGGTTCCATTCTCCCTGTCAATTTCAGATACACCAATCAGATGAAGATTTGGTCTTTTCACATAGTTCCATATTTCTTGAGGCTTTGTTCATTTCTTTATACTCTTTTTTCTCTAAACTTCTCTTCTCGCTCCATTTCATTCATTTGATCTTCAATCACTGATACCCTTTCTTCCACTTGATCGAATCGGCTATTGAAGCTTGTGTATGTGTCACGTAGTTCTCATGCCACGGTTTTCAGCTACATCAGGTCATTTAAGGTCTTCTCTACGCTGTTTATTCTAGTTAGCCATTCGTCTAATCTTTTTTCAAGGTTTTTAGCTTCTTTGAAATGGGTTTGAACATCCTCCTTTAGCTCAGAGAAGTTTGTTATTACCGATCGTCTGAAGCCTTCTTCTCCCAACTCCTCAAAGTCATTCTCCATCCAGCTTTGTTCCGTTGCTGGCGAGGAGCTGCATTCCTTTGGAGGAGAAGAGGCACTCTGATTTTTAGAATTTTCAGCTTTTCTGCTCTGGTTACTCCCCATCTTTGTGGTTTTATCTACCTTTGGTCTTTGATGATGGTGACGTACAGATGGGGTTTTGGTGTGGATGTCCTTTCTGTTTGTTAGTTTTCCCTCTAACGGTCAGGACCCTCAGCTGCAGGTTTGTTGGAGTTTGCTGGAGGTCCACTCCAGACCCTGTTTGCCTGGGTATCACCAGCTGAGGCTACACAACAACAAATATTTCAGAACAGCAAATGTTGCTGTCTGATCCTTCCTCTGGAAGCTTCATCTCAGAGGGGCACCCAGTCATATGAGGTGTCAGTTGACCCCTACTGGGATGTGCCTCCCAGTTAGGCTACTCGGGGGTCAGGGACCCACTTGAGGAGGCGGTCTGTCCATTCTCAGATCTCCAACTCTGTGCTGGGAGAAGCACTACTCTCTTCAAAGCTGTCAGACAGGGGCGTTTAAGTCTGCAGAAGTTTCTGCTGCCTTTTGTTCAGCTATGCCCTGCCACCAGAGGTGGAGTCTACAGAGGCAGGCAGGCCTTCTTGAGCTGCGGTGGGCTCCACCCAGTTCGAGCTTCCTGGCCGATTTGTTTACCTACTCAAGCCTCAGCAGTGGCAGACACCCCTCCCCCAGCCTCGCTGCTGCCTTGCAGTTCGATCTCAGACTGCTGTGCTAGCAGTGAGCGAGGCTCCGTGGGTGTGGGACCCTCCGAGCCAGGCATGGGATATAATCTCCTGGTGTGCCGTTTGCTAAGACCATTGGAAAAGTGCAGTATTAGGGTGGGAGTGTCCCGATTTTCCAGGTACTGTCTATCACAGCTTCCCTTGGCTAGGAAAGGGAATTCCCCGACCCCTTGTGCTTCCCAGGTGAGGCGATGCCCCACCCTGCTTCAGCTCATGGTCCGTGGGCTGCTCCCACTGTCTGACAAGCCCCAGTGAGATGAACCTGGTACCTCAGTTGGAAATGCAGAAATCACCCGTCTTCTGCGTCGCTCATGCTGGGAGCTGTAGACTGGAGCTGTTCCTATTCAGCCATCTTGGAACAAGAACCAAAACTCTTTTCTTTATAAATTACCCAGTCTCAGGTATTTACAGCAATGCAAGAATAACCTACCACACCACGTATTCCAAGGGCTCGAAAGCCTGAACCCAGTTTTTATGTTTATTTATTGGCTTGGTGATTCCTGACATCATACTTACGCATAGCACAGGCTTGGGGTTTTACTTCTTCTAAGATACTAACTTGTTTCTCTTTCCACTTCCTTATTGCTTCCCTGGGTTGGTTGGCATAGTTATAATGGCTTGACGTTGAGGTCCTGTCTTTCTTCTGGGGTCTCAGTCACTACTCCTCACTACGTATGGTCTCCAAGTCATGTTCACTGTCACTTTGGGAGCATTACTCCTCATTCCCACTCCTAGTGGAATATTAAATCCAGTATTCTCCCAGACCTCTGCAGGCTTTCAAACTTATCACTCTTCATTTAAATTCATTCTTCGTTTCTCACATCTAGTTATATATTTTCTCTGATACACCTAGTAATGTATTGTTACATTTTTAGCTACCATTTCTTTGTGTCTAAAGAAATAGGGCATTTGTTTTAGTTCTGACAACCCTTTATGTTAAGGGTCAATAGAGCCATCGAAATGTTTTTCTCTCCAGATTTTATTCATCAGAAAGGCTGCTTTCCTTTAGGAAGTTGTCCCACAAAATGGTTTCCATAAATTCAATCAATTGGTAAGACAGAAGGTCTCAGTTGAAAACTATTTCAAATGCAAACTACTAAAACCATCAGGGAGGTAAAAATCTAATGTTTCTTGTCAACTATATAGAAAAATATGTTTTTGTAAACAATTGGTTGAGTTTAAACTACAAAAAACTACAAATAAGAAGCATTACAACTATTTAGACATATCTCTACTTACTATAGAACCTTTGCTGTGAAGAGCTAATCTCATGGTAATATTTTGCCAAGATGATGAAATAAAATGTTAACTTAAAATAAATATATTTTATTTGGCTACCATTGTTATTTCTCTTTTTTTCTGGAGTACACTATCATTACATTTCTTTGCACCTTTAACAGGGAAATTTTAGGACATGATTATATGCATGAGCCCTGGGTCACATTTTAAGCCACAAAACCAGAAAGACAAGATGTTTCTAATGTTTGATGCTGTCCCTTCTATTCAACTGCCATATATGCTCATATATTTTAATTTTTTAAAAATAGAGACAAACTTCCACTATGTTGCCCAGGCTGGTCTTTAAGTCAGACAAATGCAATTACTTGATTCCAAGATGGTAGATTACTGGTTTGTTTACAATAGAGAGAAACTAGGAAACAAAACTAAATATTTAAACAACTATGGGACATCTAAATGACAGAACGTTATGCAACTATTAAAACAATGTTTTTGTAGAGAATTAAATGATATTAGTAACTTATCATAACATAATATCAAGCAAATAATAGGACATACAATTGTATTTTGAAGAATATGTATATGTGTTTAAAAGTAGCAAAATGCAACATAGTATAATTTTAGAAATGCTAATAATTCCTAGGTCATTTTAGGTTGCCTTGTGTTATCTTGTATTTTCTTTCCATACTTTGAAAGTTTTCTACAGGGAATAAAAATTACTTTTATAATAAAAATCCAAGAAAAACATATTGGTGTTCTGATAGCAAAGTTTAAATAATCATGAAGGCAGAGTTCAGACTTTTCAAGACCATGCTGCACAGAATTATGAGTGACAACAACATGGGTTATGCCACAAAGAATCAGCTGTCAAAAAGAAGAGGAAACAAATATATCAAAGTAGGCCAGAAAATTTGCTCATCAGTGCTGTCTGCTAGAACTTTCTGTGATAACAGAAATGTGGTATGTCTGTGCTGTCCAATATGATAGCCATTAGCCACATGTGGCTACAGAGCACTTGAAATGTGACTAGGAGATGAAGGAACAGAATTTTTAATTTAATTTAAGTGATATTTAAATTTTTTAATTTAAATAGTCATATGTAATTAATGGCTTCCATGTTGGACAGCACAAATCTCCTTCGTCACTTAAGGGTTATTGCCTATTCATTAGTGGGAAGAATAATATATTTATATCAATGATATGTTAATTATATATTAAAAATAAATAATTATAGATAATTATAGTTGGCAGAACTGGCCTAGTTATTTTCCCCACAACAATGCTGATCTTCCTATGATGAGTCCAAGATTTTGCAACATTTGGCTTTTGCTATGGTTTGGATATCTGACCCCTCCAAGCCTCATGTTGAAATCTGATCCCCATGATGGTGGTGGGGCCTAATGGGAGGTGTTTGGGTCATGGGTACAGATCCCTCACGAATGGCTTGGTGCCATCCTAGTGGTAATGAGTGAATTCTCTTTTTAGCAACCATAAGAGCTGGTTGTTAAAAAGAGCCTTGCACTTTCCCACCTCACTTGTGCTTCCTCTCTTGCAATGTGATCTCTGCACGTCAGCTCTCCTTCACCTTCTCCCATGAGAGGAAGCAGCCTGAGGGCCTCACCAGAAGCAGGTGCTGGTGCCATGCTTCTTGTACAGTCTGCAGAACTGTGAGCCAAATAAACCTCTTTTGTTTATAAATTACCCAGAGTCCGCTATTCCTTCCTAGCAACACTAAATGAACTAAGATAGCTTTTAATTACAACGGTGGCATCTGTTACTACTCTGCATTCTCATCTTCATTCCAGGTAAGTAAATTTTAAGTTTTGGCTTCTCTTAGTTCCAAGACACAACATAAGTCATTCCCTGTTTTTGGGAGGAGAGAGTCAGGATGGAGAAAAGAATAAAATTTATTGAAAATTTAAAATTAAGATAATTAACTATGTGAACTAAAAGTGAGTAATATAATACCTTCTCCCAGAAAAGATCAGGACGGGAGTGTTACAAAGCTTTGACATTTCTTAAAGTGCACTCTGCTGCATTTTGTGTGTGGTCTATGTGTAATAGCTCATCTTCAACACACACATACAAACACACACTCAAGTGTGAGAATAAAATTAACTTATTTTCTTATGTAATTTTGGAGTAAGTTTATTTAGAGTCATATGTTTTGTATTTTTATTGAAATATATGCTTGTTACCTGCAGTTTTGTAAAAGGATAGCATTTATTCTCTCTCTCTTCCTTCCTCTGTCTCTCTCAAATTGCCCAGAGGGATTAATCAACAGAAATCTAAATTTTAGAAAACCTGCTTTAAAAGAGTACTTGTTCTCTATTTTGAGTTTATGGGACAAATGAAACTGTTCTTTCAATGGGTGTTGGCAAAGAAGGTCTGGAAAAGTTTATATGAATTGCCAAGCATGGAATATTGATCATTAGCCAATCAAGCTGGATGATACTGGACATTATACTTAGTCCACAGAAGAATAATATAGGTATATGGATATAAACATATTTTTAAAATGTTGAATAAGGGACAGTTCAGATCTTTTTCAATTTCAGTTCATAATGCATGGTATTTTCAATGCTCCATGCATGGCTAAATACACAAACATCATAAATGATTCTAAAGCATGATAGGGTGCTTGCCCTTAAAAATTACCAGTAGCTAACACTTTTGCCAGTTCAGGGTACAAAAAAAATAAAGACCA
This sequence comes from Homo sapiens, assembly GCF_000001405.40. Lineage (NCBI taxonomy): Eukaryota > Metazoa > Chordata > Mammalia > Primates > Hominidae > Homo > Homo sapiens. The sequence goes on from NC_000001.11 coordinate 240,905,008, forward strand.
GGAGATGCTAAAATGATCCATATCACTATGGTTATAAACTTTGAAACTTACAATGCACACCTTAAAATCAAAGTTTCCAAGGAAACCAATGAATATATTTTAAGACAAGAATAATATGATTTGCAAATCAAAATCCATTTAAGACTGTTGCCACAGCACTATGTGTTGATTGGTGCTTGCCATATTTTTTTAGGAAGTCAGAAAAAAAAATCTTATGTTCCATGAATCCAGCAATAACTAAGACTGCAACCCTGATTTTCTTACCCGTCTGCCTTGTTAACATGATATATGTCAAACATAATGAAGAATATGTAAAAGAACCCTTGTTACCAACAAAGATTTTGCAATATCTTCAATACAGAGAATAGAAGAACCAGAAAGAAGCAGCGACAGGTAGGCGGAGAGAGGAAGGGAGGAAACTACTGACTGAGTAACCATGTATGATTGGGAATAAAATGGGATCTCAAAATCAGATTCCATTTTGCACCCAACCACAACTGAGAAAACTGAGGCTCAAAAAAGTGAAGTCATTGACACAAGGTGTTGACTATTAATTGCTGAGTCAGGATATGAAGCCCAGTTAGTCTGATTCCAAAACTTATATTCTTCCTGGTGGATCAGACAGAAGGAATGGGAAAATGCAATGCACTCAGGGTGCTCAGTGGAAGCGTTGGAGTGTGGAGTTCAAGTCCTGAGCGAATGTATTCCTGGATAAAGAATTAGTCATCAGGGGAAGGTCATGCTGGAGCTACGCTGAAGGGTAAAGTTTGTTTTTGGACTCTACCTGTTTCCTCTCCTTGGCTCTAAGATGACATGCACCAGGGATCTCACCTCTAATCCCGCCATTGCATGAAGAGAATGCCTTGCACATGACTAGATGCTCAACAAGTATTTGTAAATGTGCATCTTAAAAATTGGTCATGTCAGTTACGATGTGAAATTCACCAGTGAAAATGCTAGCTGGGGCTTTGAACCTGGAGCTACTAATTTCCCAGGTTCCATCTCATACCATCTGCCCGGCATAGTCCTACCACCCATATTGCCACACTGGTTTTAGCAGGGCAATCCTCTGAAAGTATTTTTGCTACAGTGGCTTGAGGCATAGTAATACTAGATGGAGACTAGGAACTCTAAGCAAATATCTATAAAGTTCACAACAAGGCTGTGTTGATCACTCTGGAAAGAGGTGGTGAAACGATTCTCTTTGATGACTCCTCCTGTGTCTGCGTATCTGTGCTTTGGATAGCCCACACAGGTACATCATTAAATGCCCTCCCAGGGTACTGCACCAGCCTTTGAGCAGGATTTAACCTTCAGAGTGCACTCAGCAATTGCAAAGTAGTGTGCTGGTGACTCCATTCCCAGACGTCCCTCTTGACACACTGAACTCTAGAGTGTTTCATCTCGTGGTATGAACCAAGAATTGGAACAGTCACTTGGGCAGAGGGATTCTAGGTCCTCCGTATAACCTAAGCAAAGACATTTTTCTTTTCCAAGCTAGAAAAACATGCCTAAAACAGAAATAAGTATAAGCAGTCTTTGCAAGCCTTACCATTTCTACCTCCCTCTGGGGAATCCAACCTGTGGTATAGCACTGGACCTGGACAAATAGCACAGTGATCTACTAGGAGTACAATGTGTTATCACTGTTGCTTTTATTATAACAGCTGGCAGCTGGCCAAAGCTTTGCAAAGAAACCAGAAAGCAACAGCAGGGCACTGGGCTGCCTTAGAAAAACATTTCTTGGCTCAAAGAGGAGCCTCTTTAACAAGAACCCAACACCTCAAACCTAGCAAAAAAGCATAGCTCAGGTCAATCACATAAAACACAGCTTCACAAAATCTGTCCCATAACAAAGCTAGAAATACAATGGTGTAATAAATTTGGTATACCTAAGAGCCTGAGAAAAGGTACAGCTGCTTAAGAATAAGTTATAGAAAATCTTTGTTAAATACTCTAGGGAAGGATTCAGGCATCTTCCTACTTATCTAACTTTTTAGTGTATTCTAAACTTGGCCAGGAAGGAGAGGTGTGATCTTGGCTTGGTGATTCCTGTAGATCTCCGGACTTTGGCTGCCTCACCTTTACCTGAAACTGTTGAATGGGATGCTAGATTCCCTCCAGCTCTGACATTCCATGACTAAAGAAAGTCAAGGTTTAACACTGACCTTGACATCCTGGGGCAATGGAGAGTTTTAGTGTATGCAATTGTCATGCCTGAAAAAATGTCAAAACATGGTTAGGGTTCCTCTCCTTGTTCAGGAGAATAAAATAGTATATTTTAAATATGCTAGTATAAATCTTATAAATAAAATAGTATAAATCTCCCTTCTGTTAAGAGAATGTAGAAATAAAATAAATAAAATACTAAATACTAAATAGTATTAGTATAGTAAATAGAAATAAAATAAATAAAATACTAAATCGTAGAAATAAAATACTAAATACTAAAATAATAAAATACTAAAGTTTGCTCAAGGAAAAGATGAAGTTAGATATGTGTTTCCTTTTAAGGAGGTTTTCATGAAAGAATTTTTTTTGGCAGATCACTTGAGCTTAAAAGGAGTATTGTTGTTTCAGAAATAGCACAAAAAGCTGTTCCCCAACAAGGGATGCAGCAGAGGCAGAATGTTTACCACCTAGGGTGTTAGTGAAAGGCCCTGTCTCTAAACATCCCACGTTGAGATAACTTCAATGTTTGATCAAAAAGTAAATCTTATCCCGTAATAAGTGAGCAACGTTCTGTTTCCCCTCACCCCTCAATATTGAAGCAATGACAAGATAAGTCCTCTCCTGTAGACACATTTACCAACCAAGTGAAACATGGCGTCTTGTCGGCCTTAACCGCTAGACTTGAGAGAATGGAATTTTCATGAAATAAGAGTGCCGATCCATAAAATACATGCCATTCGTTTTGATTTAAATTATAAACAATCTTATCCATGGTCTTCTTTTATTTTTATTTTTTAATTTTCCCTTCCATTCTTTGATTTTTAAGGAGTCTCCTTACAAAGTCAGAACAGTTTTTGTTTTTACCATAGCCACCATGGTTAACTTTTTCTTTAGAAAAATGTTCAGTGATATCCAAGGGCAGAAAACCAAACACCACATGTTCTCACTCGTAGGTGGGAACTGAACAATGAGAACACCTGGACACAGGGCGAGGAACATCACACACCGGGGCCTGTCGTGGGGTGGGGGGAGGGGGGAGGGATAGCATTAGGAGAGATACCTAATGTAAACGACGAGTTAATGGGTGCAGTGAACCAACATGGCACATGTATACATATGTAACAAACCTGCACATTGTGCACAAGTACCTTAGAACTTAAAGCATAATAAAAATTAAATTAAATTAAAAAAAGAAAAATTTTCAATGAAACAAATGCACTTCCTGAAGTTACTAAGCCTACACAAATGAATGAATGAACGAATGTCTTTCCTGTAGTTCTTAAGCCCACATGAACAAATGAATGAATGAATCAATCAATCAACGTCTTTCCTATAGTTGTTAAGCCTACATTTACGTAAAGGGGAGTTGCTCTTACACTGACACTGTCAAAACCCTCTACCTCCCTTCCACTCCCTCCCTGCCAGGTAAAAGCTCCACCTAAGATAGAAGGCAACCCAGGTTCCAAAGTAATTCCTCCCTCACCTGTGAATGACCAGAATTATTATCCTCTAAGTGCTTCTATTGTCACTTGAAAAAGGTACCTGCTTACCTGATTCAATTAATTCACAAGAAAACTAGGAGGACCGCTTGGTTTACCCAAGGAATTGGGACTAGGAAAGTTTGTTAATGTGAACAAGCCACCTAAATCTGTGATTCTCAAAGAAAGACCTGAATTCCATTGCTCTGAGGACTAGAAAACAGCCCAGGGCTGCAAGTGTTTCCTTCAGGTTGCAGGGAAACAACATGCAAAAAGGTTATGCTAACATTTGGAACGCACGAACTAAATTTGCTTGTTAATAAAATTTCCTGAGACCTCTAATTCGGACTTTCCTAGAAAGTCTGCCTGTCACATCATACGCAGCAGAATCACAAAGTTGTGAATGCACACGTCCTTGGATAATTGGGATTCCAGTAATTTTCCATTCCAAGAGGATGTTTTATTACTGCTCCTCAGTGTTCTGAGTTGGTCATGATTTTCAGAGACTGATGTTTATGAATTTAAGTTGAAAATTTATGTTTATGTTATCCTCATCAATTTAGTTTGTTATAAGTTGTTTGGTGAATCCCATACAGTGCAATGAAGCATATTTGCATCAATGACATTTCTAGACTATAAACTTCCAATTATTTCACCAATAAAATATGTATACTTTACAGTACAAATGCGAGTTATCCATACCCCATCTTCTGAAACAAATATGTCTGTTTTCCTTGTATATTCCCACCCCTAGTCTACAATTTTGCCTATATAGTGTCACTTTATTATTATCGCTAAGTTATTTTTCTACCTATAACTTACCTAGAGTAAGATAACACAGCCATGGAATCTTTTACCCTACCTAAATGTGTCATAACAAGATGTCTTTGAAACTCAGCTCTAAATGCTAGCATGGATGGAAAACTATGGTTCCATTTGCAAGGCTGGCTTACAGAGCACAAGGAGATACAGTTATGAAAGGGCTGGACTACGACAGAAGTAGTAGGCCAATAGATCTATATAGTCAGCTTTTTGTCATGTAATTTATTAACTATGACACAAATGCATTTAAGAATATCAAGTATTTCTCTGGCTCTTGACACAGTTGACTTAACCTTTTGCTGTCTAAGGAACTGAGGCTTTCCTGTTCTGGGTGCTACTGGCAAATGTTCTAGTACTTGAAGTCGGGATGCACAGCTTCAACCACTGACTTATCAGTGCAGCCACCTGTGTATTGCAACTGGCCATTAAATTAAACACCGAGCCACCTGGGTTTAGTTCGGTCACTTCCATAAGTGTATTTAGCATTGGTAGCCCTGCTTTATTAAAGTGCAGCAGACGTGCTCTTCTGTCCCTTCTGTCCCTTCTGTTTGTGGTTCTTTGGGAAAGTTCTGATATTTGCTTTTGTTTTGTGCTTGCTTTCGTGTTTTTATATCTTGTATTTATCCCTGAACATATTTCGAACATTTTTTTAAGGAAAGAAATTCTTTTGTGTATATATAGATACTTGCATGATATACTGTCATCAAGTTTCGGTTCCTCAAAAGGTCTTGGAGCTGTCAGGTGTGATGTACTCCAACCATCAAAGTTCTGTGGAACACGGTTTGTATGTAAATAAATGTGGGGCGTTTGGCCCTTGAAACCGGAAGACATTACGGTAGGTGAAATAAGCCAGAAACAGAAAGTTAAATAACGCATGTGCTCATTCATATGTGGAAGCTAAAAAATAGTTGATCTTACAGAAGCAAAAAGTAGAACAGAGGAAACTAGAGGCTGGGATAGGCAGGAGGAAGAGGGGTTAGGGAGAAATTGGTTAAAGGATAGAAATTTAGAGCTAGAGAGGAGGAATAAATTCTAGTGTTCTGTAGCACTGTAACATGACTATAGTTAACAATAATGCATGGTTTCAAAGAGCTAGAAAGAGGATACTGAATGTTCCCAGCACAAAGAAATAATAGTGTTTGAGATAATGAATATGCTAATTACCCTGATCTAATCACCGTATATTATATGTATTGCAACATCACTATGTACCCTATAAATACATACAACTATTATGTGTCAATTAATTTTTTTTTGAGACAGAGTCTCACTCTGTGGCCCAGGCTGGAGTGCAGTGGTGTCATCTCAGCTCACTGCAACCTCCGCCTCCCAGGTTCAAGGGGATTCTCATGCCTCAGCCTCCCAAGTTCCTGGAATTAAAGGTGTGTGCCACAACGCCCAACTAATTTTTTTTATTTTTAGTAGAGATGGGGTTTCTCCATGTTGGTCAGGCCAGGCAATGATCCACCTGCCTCGGCCTCCCAAAGTGCTGGGATTACAGGCCTGAGCCATCATACCTGGCCAATTAAAAAAAAATTTTTTTTAAAGAATTCTCTAGTTCATTCCTACTATATTCTGGGCAAAAGCTAAACATCTGTGCCAGACGCATTTATTGTCTTTCTCTCTCTCAATCTCTCTCCTTTCATTGAAGCTTCCCTTTAATTCCCAAATAAATCCAACTCCCTTCCATATTGAACACCATACCACTGACTCAGCATCATTTACATCTTGCAGGGAGGTTCTTTCTCTGTCTTTTTCCCCTTATCTATTCATCCATCCATCCATCTCTTTCTCTCATTTCATTGCCAAATATTTGGGAAAGCAGTCCAAGGTTACTGCTGCCTTTGCTTCTTCACCTCTCATCCTCTCCCTGAAATCTGATCTCCCTACATCTCTCATTTTCTCTCTTGATTCTTCTTCTGGTGATTTCTTCTTAAATGTTAATGTTCTCTAGGTTCCAACTTGGGCCCTCTTTTTGTCTTAGTCTACATGTCCTCTCTGAATGATCTCATCCACGACCATGGCTTTAACTATAACCTGACTCTAGTGATTCAAAAATCTTTCTGTCCAACACCAATCTCTTGTCTTTACTTTAGAATTGGATAGCCACTGCATACTGGGTGCCTATAGCTAAACATCCAGCTATCTGTAAGTCTTGTAAACACAACAACGGTATGGAAATCCAACTGAAAAACACTCATGCCCAGTGGACCATGAATTTAAGGCAAGTCTGATGGTGTGAGAAAAGCATAAAACCCAGTCAGAAACCTTGGGTTCCAATCCCAGCTCAATTGTTTTTAGTCATAGGGCAGGTCCTCTATCTATCTGACTGTGATTTTTCACTTGTAGAGTATGGCTTACTGTACTTTAAAGATTTTCTGGCCGGGCGCAGTGGCTCACGCCTGTAATCCCAGCACTTTGGGAGGCTGAGGTGGGCGGATCATGAGGTTAGGAGATGGAGACTATCCTGGCTAACACGGTGAAACCTGGTCTCTACTAAAAATACCAAAAAAAAAAAAAAATTAGCCAGGCGAAGTGGCAGGGGCCTGTAGTTCCAGCTACTCGGGAGGGTGAGGCAAGAGAATGGCGTGAACCCATGAGGCGGAGCTTGCAGTGAGCTGAGATCGTGCCACTGCACTCCAGCCTGGGCGACACAGCGAGATTCTGTCTCAAAAAAAAAAAAAAAAAAAAAAAAAAAGATTTTCTGTGAGGGATTAAATCAGATAATGTATGTAAAGGTGTGATGTAAGCTGGTAAGTGTTATTCCAATTTCTGATATGCTATTATTTAAAATGTAGTTGGACAAGCAGGAGTAACATTTAAAATGAGACAAAAAGTACAAGCCACCAGAAATGCAAATATCAAATTAATTTGTCCCAGTAAACTAAATATAAATAGTTTTTACACTTTAATGTACATCTGAAAGAGCTTATTAATAATGTCAATGCTTGAGCTACAGCCCAGATTTAATTGGTTGGGAAAGAGGTCAGTAATCTTTACTTCAAAATCATTCCAATTGTCACAGGCAAGTCAGGGCCACACTTCAAGAAATAGTGAAATATAATGCACTTGAGGGATGGTCAATCCTCAAAATATTCTAAAGACTTGTAAAGGCTTCAGAACTAGTTCCTTCTTGAGAAGCACATTGCTTCTTTTGCTGAGTTCAAATTGTAATGAATTTCAAGGCTTCCAATTCTGGGCTTCTTACATAAAGCAATCATTCCTTCCTCACTCCCAACACAAACACATAATTTTTAATATATAAATAAATATATATATTTACATTTGCATATTCTGTTTTCATTAATGGAATTTTTTTCCTGTATACTACATGAGTAATAATGTAAAGACACGAAATAAAACAGACACTAATTAGGCATGTTTGAACATCTGTTGCTACCAAACATTTTCTATTTCTCTTTTCATATCTCTGCTGATGGGTTTAGATGAAAAGACTACAAGCCTGCATACTTACAGGGAGGAAGGAGCCAAACTGGAAAACCAGTAGCACAGGTCGGTAGGAATTAATCTCAGCAGGCTCGCTTCAGCATTCGGAGACACAACCAGCAAAACACTTCCAAGCTGGTGGCTCAGTTAATATGTGAAGCTATTTTTAGTACAACAGAGAGCATTTCTAGAGATTGAGATTATAAACCAGGGATACATCCCAAACATATTAATATGGTTTTAATTTTATTTTACAGATACCATGTTTCAGAATATTTTAATCTCCATGTGAATAATTGTTTTTATTTTGTATGTATGCATGATGTAAGTATGCATACAGTACATTTATATGCACGAGCATTATTCATATACATGCATACCTACATGTAAAAATCTGGGTAAGAGAGTAAATCAGATGTTTTAGTCCTTGTATATATAAGGTAAAAGCCAGACCTTTTAATGACTTACACATTTGATCAGGAAGTTTTGTGTTTTGAAATGACAAAAACTTGGAATATTTTCGAAAGGAGTAGAATACTTTCGGCCATAATTTTCATTTTTAAGATGCCTTAAATGTTTTAGTTCCTTTTAATAAATAATCTTACACAATGAGTTGGTTCTCACTGTCGTATTAGGTAAATGGGTTTTGTTGTTGTTCGTTTTTGCTAAAATGGGTTTTGTTGTTTTTTGTTTTTGCTAAAACGAAAAAACTTCCTTTTTATTAAGGAAGTTATATGAAAGTCCATCACTTCCACAAATTAGGAGGCTACACTACTGCAATTTGGCTGAATCAGTGGATATTTTTAATGTTGCTTATTTTGTGCTTTAAAATTGCAGTTATCCCAGAGCATCTGTAATTTTGTTTTTTTTTTATTTTGAACAAACTGTTATCTGTTAAATTAACAATAAGAAAAATGTTATTTTATCTATGTTTATTCATTCTTCAAAATTCTTCCTTTTGTTTTTTTTGTTTTTTTAATTTTCTTTTTTTTATTATTATTATACTTTAAGTTTTAGGGTACATGTGCACATTGTGCAGGTTAGTTACATATGTATACATGTGCCATGCTGGTGCGCTGCACCCATTAACTCGTCATCTAGCATTAGGTATATCTCCCAATGCTATCCCTCCCCCCTCCCCCCACCCCACAACAGAATGATGATGAGATATTCCTGGTAAGATGTAATGTTTTATTTTTCTTCCTGGATCTATCTCTGATCTTGTTCCAGGGCACATCAATTTAGAAACACTCATCGATTATGATAGCTTTGAGAACAAACATTGGAACATTAACATGCTAATTTTGTTCTTTACAGGTTGATGGTAGAAAATGTATAAAGTTTAAAAACATGCAAGTCTTATTAGCATTCTGCTTAGATAAATACAATCTTATTTTATTTCTCTCTCCTTTTATTCATGCCCTGCCAATTGAGAGTGCCAGGTTTCTCTCCTTTTCTGTTTCACAGCAGCTCCAAAGCTAAAGGGAAACCAAGGTGGAAAATAATTACCCCAAAAGAGACATTTTCCATGACACTAATGGCTGGATTTCAGATACTTTCCAAAGCTCATTGGAAAGGGAGAACTCATGGAGAAGAAACAACCAACTTTAAGTATCCCATTACTCTCAGAGGTTGACTCAGAGCCTATTCCATGTAGAAATACTGAAGAGGGTGTAAAAAAGAACGAAAAGCAGAAACAAAATAAATAAATAAAAACAACATAGTCATGCTTTGTTTATCCTTCTTTCCCTTGCAAACATCTGCTCTCTGGAGTCTGCTCTGGCATTTAAGGAGCTTGGAAGTCATCCCTCCCATCCAATCTCACAAAGAAAAAAAAAGCTGAAGAAGTAAAAACCAACAATTCCTCTGAAATCCCTCAGAGGATTGATGTCAGAGGGCAAACCATTGACCCCATGATTGGAGACAAAGACAGAAATGTACAGAGAATCATGACCTAGAGTAACAGAAACCTTTGGGAAAACCAACATTGGGATAGAAAAACTTAAACTGCAACTGATTAGTTGTTCGAGGCTCAATGTGGATTAATTTGAGCATTAAAAACTCCTTTGAGGATCAGGGAGCAGTTTTAAGGGGGCTACCACACATTTGTGACTTTTACTTCCAGGAGCCCTACTAGGTTTGCACAATGAGGGTCAGGGAGAAATTTCCTAATGCTTCCAACAAGGAACAGGGAAAAAGTAACCATTCCGAAATACACCCAGGTCACTCTGTTCTTCTTATGGCCTGTCTCAAAAGAAACTGTATTACCCAGAGCCCAACAGACTGAGATTATAGCAGAGCCTAAACCACCGGGGAGTAGGGAAATATCCAACTCCAGCCCCTCTATCCTTCCCATTGCACCTAAAGAGGAAAAACCCCCAAAACCCAAGGAGCACATGTGGAGATCATGGCCCAGGGGTAGAGGCTCACTGTGGGACTGGGTCCTAATCATCAGATTATACAAAGCATCCCCCTTCCCCTGCACCTTACCACAATACCAGTAGGGCTCCTGTATAATAACAGATGAACGCAACGGAAAGAACTGTATGACCCATGCCTTATTTAAGAAGAAGTTTCTAGGAAAACCCAAAGACAACAGCGGGGAATAAAAACAAGGACATCAGAGGAGATGTTAGCCTCTAAAGCCTCTAGCTACAGCAAACAGTAAACACAGCTCAATTACTAGCCAGATAAACATAAAACCTCACAGTAATGGCCTGTATGCCTCATTTATTTAGTACATCACATCCTACTGTCAACAACAAAAAAAATTCCAAGGCACACTAAAAGACAAAAAACACAGTTTGAAGAGTCAGAGCAAGCATGAGAACCAGACTAAATATGGAAAATATATGGGAATCATCAGGTATGAAATTAAAAGGAACTATGATGAAATTCAAGAAATAAAAAACATAATAGAAATGAAGAATGAAAAATTAGTTCATCAATAGACTGGACATGATTGAGGAAAGAATCAGTAGAGTTTGGACATGTGTCAAAAGAAACCTCCAAACTGAAATACAAAGAGAAAAAAAAGTATAAAAAAGACAGGAAATGTCAGGCGCAGTGGCTCATGCTGTAATCCCAGCACTTTGGGAGGCCAAGGCAGTCTGATCACTTGAGGCCAGGAGTTCAAGACCAGCCTGGCCAACATGGTGAAACCCTGTGTCTACTAAAAATACCAAAAAAAAAAAAAAAAAAAAAATTAGCACATGGTGGCTCATGCTTGTAATGCCAGCTATTAAGGAGGCTGAGCATGAGAATTGCTTGAACTCAGGAGGCAGAGGTTGCAGTGAGCCAAGATCATGCCATTGCACTTCAGCCTGGGTGACAGAGTGAGACACTGTCAAAAAAAAAAAAAAAAAAATAGAGAGAGAAAGAGAGGACAGAACAGAATGTCTAAAAACTGTGGGGGTAATTATAATATAAAAGGCATAACATACATGTAATGGGAAAATCAGAGAAGAAAGAAAAGAACAGAAGACATATTTGAAGCAATAATAACTGAGATTTTCCCCAAGTTAATGACAGATATTGTTATGAGCTTAATTATGTCCTCCTGTTCCCCCAGCCTCAACTTATGTCAAAGCCCTAACTCCCAGTAACCTCAGAATGTGGCTGTATTTAGAGATAAAGCCATTAAAGAGGTAATGAAGGTCACATGAGATCATAAGGGTGAGGTCCCAATCCAATATGACTGGTGTTGTTCTAAGAGGAAGAGACTCAGGAGATGGGCCTATACAGGGAAAAGGCCATGTGAGGACACGGGAAGGTGGCCTTCTGAAAGCCAAGGAGAGAGCCTCAAGAGAAATCAATCCTGCCAGCACCTTGTTCTTGGACTTCCAGTAGCCAGAGCACTTCTACCCTCATATTTATTGATGAGATAATAAATTTCTATTGTCTAAGCCATACAGTCTGTTATATTTTGTTATGGTGGCTCTAGTAAAGGAATCCACCAAGCCACACAACAAGGAAACTCAAACAACACCAAGCACAATAACTATCAGAGCAACCACAGACATATCACATTTTGACTTCAGAGAACCAAACATGAAGAGAAATTTTGAAAGGAGCGAGGGTGGATGGGATGAGGGAAACCTTACCTGGAGAGAAAAAATAAAATAACTGCTTTGAATTTCTCATCAGAAACCATGCAAGCAAGAAGAGAGTGGGGTGATAGATTTAAAGTCTCTAAAGAAAAAACCCATTAACCTAGAATTCTGTATCTTGTGGAATTATCAAAAGTGAAGGAAAAACAAAGACTTTCTTAGAAAAACAAAAACTGAGAGAATTTGTTGACAAAAGACCTGCCTTGAAAAGAATGTTTAAAAACAGTTCTTCAGAAAAAGGGAGAATGATATAGGTTGAAACTACATAAAGAAAGGAAGACTATTAGAGAAGGAGTAAATGTACGTCAAACAAAATCTCTTTATAGAAAGTTTCTTAATTGATCTGATGGATAAAAAAGTGTTCAAAATGATACCAGCAACAATGCAATTGGTGGTTATAGCCTAAAGGAAAGGAATGACAGCAATATTATAAGAGATAAGAAGGAGAAAGTAGGAATACTCTGTTATGGGATAGTTGCATTACATGTTAAGTGTACAGTGTTACCTAAAAATGGACTTGGATTCGTTGTAAATGTATATTGCTAACTCTAGAAAAACTGTAAGACATTTAAAAGGAATTATAATTGATACTGGGCAAAAAGGGAAAACAGAATTATATAAAATGTTCATTTAAAATCAGAGAAGGCAGAAAGAGACAGGAAGACAAAAGGAAACTAATATAAAACAGTTATAAACATTAATGTAACAGTTATAGATATTAAACCAACAATATTAATAACCACTTTAAATGTGAATGATATACATCAAGTAAAAGACAGGGACTATCAGAGTGGATATAAAACAGAACCAACTATATTCTGTTTAGAAGAAACTTGCTTTAAATACAAAGACACAGATTAAAAGTTAAAGGATGAGGAAAGATATGCCATGCTAAAACTAATCAAAATAAAGCTAAATTAGATAAATTAATTTCAGACAAAGACTCTAGAAAAAACATTTTTCAGGGATAAATTTCTTTTATTGCATAACAACAGAAGGTTCAATTCTCCACAAAGACATAACAACCTTAATGTGTATGTGCTTAACGACAGAGCATCAAAATACTTGAGGTAAAAACTGACAGATTACAAAGAGAAATGGATGAACAATTACTATCACTGGAGGCTTCCACACACATATATCTGTGGTTGACAGATCTAGCAGGCAGAAAATCAGGAAGGACAGAATCAAACTAAGCAGCACCATCAATCAGCTGAATTTAATGGCCATTTATAGAATAATTAATGCAACAGCAACAGAATCTATAGTCATCTCAAGTTCTCATGACATGCACCAAGATAGACCACATTCTAGGTCATAAGACACACCTTAAAAATGTAAAAGAATAGAAGTCTTTCAAAGTATGATCTCAAACAATAGAATTAAACTAGAAATCAACAACAGAAAGAAGCTGGAAAATCTCAAAGTACCTAAAAATTAAACAGTACACTTCTAAACAACACACGGGCCAAAGAAGAAGTCTCGGGAGAAATTTTAAAGTATTTCAAGCTAAATGAAAATGAAAATACATGTTATCAAAATTCACAGGATGTAGTGAAAGCAGTGCCTAGAAGGAAGTTGAATGCATATATTAGAATAAAGAAAGATCTAAAATCAATAATCTAAATTCCCATCTTAGAAAACTAGAAGAACAAAAGCAAATTAAATCTAAGCCAAACAGAAGAAAACAAATAATAAAAATCAGAGCAGAAATCAATAAAATTGAAAATCAATAGAGAAATTCAACGAAACCAAAATCTGGGTGCTTAAAACAATTAATATTGATGAGCCTCTAGCCAGGCTAATTAAGAAAAAAAAAAGAAGACACCAATTACTGGTATAATAACTGAAAAGGAGGCCATCACTGCTGATCCCCTTTATCCTAAAAATAGTAAAAGAATATTATGAACAACTCAACCCCACAAATTTGATAACAAATTTTTGGTTCAAAAATTTGAACCAAGTTTTTGAAAGATACAATCTACTGAAACTCACACTAGGAGAAATAGATAATCTAAATAGGCTTATACTTATTGAAGAAATTGAATCAACAATAACAACTTACCAAAACAGAAAGCCACCAAGCCCAGATAACTTCACTGGGGAATTCTACCAAACATTTGAGGAAGAAATAATACTCCGTACAATCTCTTCCAGAAAATAGAAGCAGAGGAATATTTTCTAACTAATTCTACAAGGCCAGCATTACTCTAATACCAAAGTCATTAAAAAATTACCAAAAAGGAAGACTACAGACCAATACTTCTCATAAACATAGATGCAAAAACCACCAACAAAATATTAGCATATTATATCCAACAATGTATAAAATATTATACATCATGACCAGGTGATATTTATTCCATATATGCAAGAATGGTTGACAATTTATACATTAATTAATGTAACCCATCACATCAACAGGCTAAAGAAAAATCATGCAATCATATCAATACATGCAGAGAAATCATTTGCCAAAATCTAGCACCAGTCATGATAAAAACCCTTAGCAAACTAGAAATATAGAGGAATGCTCCCAACTTGATAAAAAAAAATGCCTACAAAAAACCTACAGCTAATATAGTACAAATGAAAAGTCTCTCTTCTCCCTGCCCTCATGCCTAAGTCAGAGTCTCCTAAAGAACCGAACAGCTGAGGAAGCTCTTCATTGGAGGGCTGAGCTTTGAAACAAGGTGAGAGCCTGAGGGGCCATTTTCAGCAATGGGGAATGCTCATGGACTGTGTGGTAATGAGAGATTCAAACATCAAGAGCTCCATGGGCTTTGGGTTTGTCACATAGGCCACTGTGGAGAATGGGGATGTGGCCATGAATGGAAGGCCACACAAGGTGGATGGGAGAGTTGTGGAACCAAAGAGAGCTGTCTCAAGAGAAGATTCTCAAAGACCAGGTGCCCACTTAACTGTGAAAAACATATTTGTTGGTGGCATTAAAGAAGACACAGAAGAACATCACCTAAGAGATTATTTTGAACAGTTTGGAAAAATTGAAGGGATTGAAATCATGACTGATTGAGGCAATGGCAAGAAAAGAGGCTTTGCCTTTGTAATCTTTGATGACTATGACTCCGTGGATAAGACGGTCATTCAGAAATACCACACTGTGAATGGCCACAACTGTGAAGTTAGGAAAGCCCTGTCAAAGCAAGAGATAGCTAGTGCTTCATGCAGCCAAAGAGGTCGAAGTGGTTCTGGAAACTTTGGTGGTGATCGTGGTGGTGGTTTTGGTGGGAATGACAACTTTGGTCGTGGAGGAAACTTCAGTGGTCATGGTGGCTTTGGTGGCAGCTGTTGTGGTGGTGGATATGGTGGCAGTGGGGATGGCTATAATGGATTTGGTAATGATGCCAGCAATTTTGGAGGTGGTGGAAGCTACAATGATTTTGGCAATTACAACAATCAATCTTCACATTTTGGACCCATGAAGCGAGGAAACTTTGGAGGCAGAAGCTCTGGCCTCTATGGTGATGGAGGCCAATACTTTGTCAAACCATGAAACTAAGGTGGCTATGGTGGTTGCAGTAACAGCAGTAGCTACGGCAGTGGCAGAAGATTTTAATTAGGAAACAAAGCTTAGCGGAAGAGGAGAGCCAGAGAAGTGACAGGGAAGCTACAGGTTACCACAGATTTGTGAACTCAGCCAAGCACAGTGGTGGCAGGGCCTAGCTGCTACAAAGAAGACATGTTTTAGACAAATACTCACGTGTATGGGCAAAAAACTTGAGGACTGTATTTGTGACTAATTGTATGACAGGTTATTTTAGTTTCTGTTCTGTGGAAAGTGTAAAGCATTCCAAGCATTCCAACAAAGGGTCTTAATGTAGATTTTTTTTTTTCACCCATGCTGTTGATTGCTAAATGTAATAGTTTGATTGTGATGCTGAATAAATGTCTTTTTTTTTTAATGTACTGTATAAAGTTAGTCTGCTCTGAAGCCATCTTGGTAAATTTCCCCCAACAGTGGGAAGTTAGAATTCCTTCAGGGTGATGCCAGGTTCTATTTGGAATTTATACACAACCTGCTTGGGTGGAGAAGCCGTTGTCTTCAGAAACCTTGCTATAGTTGAACTGATAGTTACTGTTGTGACCTGAAGTTCACCATTAAAAGGAAATAGCCAAGCAAAATCATAAAATTATTGGTTATAAAAATGAGTGTTGGCACATCTTATGCAATATACTAAATTGAATAATGGTACCAGAAAAAACTATAGATGGGAATGAAGATTGTGTAACATCTATTATCATGTGTAATCAATAAATGATTTAATTCTCTTGAAGAAAAAAAAAACTAGATGCTTTCCCACTAAAATAAGGAAAAATGCAAGAATGTCCCCTCTCGCTACTCCTATTTGCCATTGTACTGGAGTCCTAGGTAATGGAATAAGACAAGAAAAAGAAAAAAAGGGTATATAGTTTGATAAGGATGAAATAAATCTTTGTTCAGGAAGACATGTTTGTCTAGGTAGACAATCTCAAAGAAACAACAACAACAAAAACTCTTAGAACTAAGTGATCATAGCAAAGTTGCAGGGTACAAAAAAAGTCAGCGGTTTTCCTATGTACCAGCAATGAAAAATTGAAATATGAATTTCAAAACACAATACTATTTATGTAAGCAGCAAAACTTAGGCATACATCTAACAAAGTATATAGAAGATATATATTAATAAGAGTACAAAATTCTTTTAAAAGAAATCAAAGATCAAAATCAATGGAAAGACATACCAAATATGTGGATAAGAAGACTCAATATTATTAAGATGTGAGTTCTTTCCAACTTGACCTGTGAATTCAATGCAATCTCCATATAAATCCTAGCATACTTTGAGGATATTGACAAACCGATTCCAAAGTTGAAGTGGAAAGCAAAAGACCCAAATTACACAACACAATACTGAAGGAATGCAATGACAGAGAGTTGACACTACCAAACTTCAAAACTTACTATAAACCTATAGTAATCGAGGCAGTGTGGTATTGGCAAAAGAAGAAAAAAAATAAATCAAGGAAAAAGAATAGAGATTTCAGGAAGAGACTTAGACAAGGTAGAAAAGGTAATCGAATGGAGAGAAGATCCTATTTTCAAAAAATGGTGCTGGAACAACTAGACCTCTACATGCAAAAAAAATAAATATAGACTCCAGATTTTACTAATTTCACAAAAATTAACTTAAAATAAATTATACAACTAAAAATAAACTGTAAAACTATAAAACCTTTAGAATATAACATAGGAGAAAATCTAGGTGACCTTGAGTTTGGCAATGACTTTTTAGACACAACATCAAAAGCACAATCTATGAGAAAAAATTGTAAGTTGGAATTTATTAAAATTTAAAACTTTGATTCTTTTAAATACACCATTAAGACACTGAAAGACAAACTACAGACTGGGGGAAAATCTTTGCAAAACGTATCTGATAAAGCACTGGTATCCACAATATACAAGGAACTCTTACAATTCAACAATAAGAAAACAACACAATTAAAAAATCGGCAAAATATAATATCTGAACAGAAAACTCAACAAAGAAGACGAACACTTGGCAAATATGCATGTGAAGAGGTGCTCAATATCATATGTTATTAGAGAACTGTAAATTTAAAAAACAATGAGATACCACATCTATTAAATGACTAAAATCCAAAACATTGAAAACACTAAATGCTGGTAAGGATGTGGAGCAACAGGAACTTGCATTCATTGCTGGTGGGAATGCAAAATAGTGTAGCCACTTTGGAAGACTGGAAGTTTCTTACAAAGCTAAATATACTCTTACCATATGATCCACTTTCCTAGGTATTTGCTCAAATGAATTGGAAACTTATGTCTTCAAAAAAATTCTGTACATGAAGGTTTATAGCAGCTCAACTCGTAATTGCCATATGTGGAATTGATTAAGATGTTCTTCAATGGGTGACTGGATAAACTATGGTATATTCATAAAATGGAATATTCAGTGATAAAAAGCAATGAAATATCCTGCCATGCAAAGACATGGAGAAACTATAACAAATCTTGTTAAGTGAAAGAAGAAAAGGCTCTACACTGTGTAATTCCAACCCTATGACATTCTGTAAAAGGTAAAACTATGGAGACAGTGAAAAGATAAGTGTGTGCCAGGGGTTAGGGTAGGGGTATGGATAAATAGGCAGAACACAGAGAATCTTTAGGGCAGTGAAACTAAATGGTGGATAAATGTTATACATTTCTGAAAACCCACAGAATGTATAACACAAAGAATTAACCCTAATATAAACTATGGACTTTTGTTAACAATTATGTATTAATCTTGGCTCATTAATTGTAACAAACATACTATATTATGGTAAGTTTTTAATTATAGGGGAACGTATAGGTGGTACTGAGGCATTTTGTTGGAACTCTCTGCATATTTTGTTTAATTTTCTGTAAACTTTGAGATTCTCTGAAAAAAATGAAGTCCATTAATTTTTAAAACTCTGCTCCCTAGAACATGATTTTAGGAGCCACTAACACCTGGCTTCAAAAACAGACATGCAGGGATGGATTCATTAAAAGTGAATGACAAAGGCTTGGAAAGTTCTTCAGAGGACAATAAAATAGAACTGTAGAGGCCCTCTTACAGCTCTTATAAAACAAGCAACTGTGTAAATTAAATGCCAAATGGAATCCAGATGAAAAAAAAAAAACACACACAATTTGTCTTAACGGAATGGATATATTTGAAAGCACTGCAATGTTTTAGATAAAGAAATAAATAATGTCTACTTTTAGAAAAATGAATTTCTTTCACTTTCCCCAATATCTTAAATTCTCAGTTTTCTAATATTATAGATAATGGAATTATTAATGGATTATGCAGATATTTAAGGCACTGTTATTTTATCAGCTATTCAAGGTTCAAGACACAGTTCTAAAGTCATATAGGCTATTAATTTGGTTTTATGTGTTTATTTCAAAATTCTTTTAAATTAGTTCACCATGTATTTGATCTCTTTAGTTGGTCATAAATCCCTTGTCATCTCTTCCCCAAAACAAAACTTTGGATATGGCAAGCTTTCTACCAATGGTAACTGACCAACTTAAAATCTGTCCCTGAAGGAAAAATTACTATTTATCTCAAATCTGCTATAATTATTTTATGTCAGCCTACAATTGCTGTGGTTGGCCAACTAGAATACTTTCTTTTTGCTGGCCTCTTATTATCATGTATGAAAGATGTATTGATTCTCAACATCCTTTTATTATTACTTTAGTATGGTTTTGGCAAGTGGAACTTCATCTTGTCTAGTTGTTTGGGAGCACTAGCTACAGTCTTTCTCCATGGGTCTGAAAACCTTCACAACATACTGGAGAAAAGACAGGCCTTCCATTGAACATTTACTGAGGCATAAATCATCACCCTACAAGATAATGCGATGTTTTGAACAACTTTAATTGTTTAAATTGGGAGGTTCTTATGTGGGGAACAAATTTTTCCTTCTGCAACTGTCATATGTTGGTTTTGCCATACACACCAGAAAGTCTGTATCTCTCCCACACACATCTCTCCCTTCCATACTAAATATGTATTTTTTCTGGCTAAATATTCCTTGTCCTTCAAATTCAAAATTTAATCCAATTCAAAAATTAATGTGGTTACCATGATCTTGACAAAATCTACATTGTAATTAAGGTCTTTTAAGATAGCCCAAGAACCAAATGTAATATTAATTGTATTACCACTAGGATGGCGTGAGTGATGCAGTCACCTCAGGTGCAAAATCTAAGGGAGTGTCAAAAAACTCGGTAATCAAAATAAATAATATTTTAATGCAATATTTGCAAAAATAACATTAATCAAAATAATATTTTAGTGCAGTATTTGAAAAAAATAAAAATTAATGCAAAAAGTTCAAATGGACAAGGATTTGGGTGTGATGGGTGAGATGAGTCATACAAGTAAGTACAGGGGAGGCTCCTGTCTTTTTTGGACATTTCAATTTCTTGGAGTTAAAATCCTATTTGGATATTAGAGATTCAACCCTTGAAAGGAGCCAGCCTAAAGACATTGTTCCATTTGTACTCATTTCTTTTTTTCAATAATAATTTTAATTTTTAGTTTAGATTCAGGGGGTACATGTGCAGGTTTGTTACATGGGTATATTGCATGATACTGAGCTTTGGGGTATGACTGATCCCAACACCCAGGTAGTGAGCATAGTCCCTAGTAGGTACTTTTTCAGCCCTTGCACCCCTCCATCATTCCCCCCACCAGTACCTGCCAGCGTCTATTGTTCTCATCTTTATGCCCATGTATACCCAATGTTTAGCTCCCTCTTATAAGTGAGAACATGTGGTATTTGGTTTTCTTTTCCTGTGTTAATTTGCTTGGGATAACAGCCTCCAGCTGTATCCATGTTGCTGCAAAGGACATACTTTTATTCTTTTTCATGGCTGTGTAGTATTCCACGGTGTATATATATTACATTTTCTTTATCCAGTACACTATTGATGGGCACCTATGTTGATTTCATGTCTTCGCTGTTGTGAATATCGCTGTGATGAACACATAAGTGCACATGTCTTTCTGGTAGAATAATTTATTTTCCTTTGAATATATATCCAGTAATGGGATTGCTGGGATGAATATAGTTCTAGTTTTAGTTCTTTGAGAAATCTCCAGACAACTTTCCACAATGACTGAACTAATTTACATTCCCACCAACAGAGTATAAACATTCTGTTTTCTCCATAGCCTTGTCAGAATTTGTTATTTATTGATTTTTTAGTAACAGCCATTCTGACTGGTGTGAGATCGTATATCATTGTGGCTTTGATTTACAGTTCTCTGATGATCTGTAATGTTGAGCATTTTCTTGTATGTTTGCTGGCTGCTTGTATGTCTTTTTTTGAGAAGTGTCTGCTCATGTCCCTTGCCCACTTTTTAACGGGATTGTTTCTTGCTTGTTGTATTGTTTAAGTTCCTTATAGATTTTTGATATTAGACCTTTGTCAGATGCATAGTTTGCAAATATTTTCTGCCATCCTCTAGGTTGTCTGTTAATTCTGTTGATAGTTTCTTTTGCTGTGCAGAAACTCTTCAGTTTAATTAATTAGTTTTATTTAGTTTAGGTCCCACTTGTCAATTTTGGTTTCTCTTGCAATTGCTTTTGAGGACTTAGTGATGAATTATTTACCAAGGCCATTGTCCAGAATGGTATATCCTAGGTTTTCTTCTAGGGTTTTTATATTTTGAGGTCTTATATTAATCTTTAATCGATCTTGAGTTAGTTTTTGTATATGGTACAAGGTAGCGGTCCAGCTTCATTCTTCTGCATGTGGCTAGCCAGTTATTCCAGAATCATTATTAAATAAGGAATCCTTTCTCCATTGCTTATTTTTGTTGACTTGGCCAAAGATCATATGGTTATAGATGTGCGGCTTTACTTTTGGGCTCTCAATTCTGTTTCATTAGTTTATGTATCTGTTTTGTGATGTGTATAAAATGGTCATTTCTAGGACCCTTTGTGTGCAATGTGTGTGTCCAGAGGTACCAGTAAAAACCCTGCCTCGGCTTCTGTTTCAGTTTGCTACAACTGACACTGTCTCTACTTCTTACCAAAGCTCTCTTGAGTTTTCCTGTGCCTTTGTCTCGAGCCCACACTGCAAGTCCTTAGTGCTGGATCTCTCTTGATGAGCAAATACATCTGGGAAAGCCCATTTCTGACTCCACTTTAACTGGCTTGAATTAGAATGCTTTTTGTACTTGCACACAAAATACCAGAAATCTTATCCAACTTGATTTTCGAAGAATGGAGTTTATAAAGATATAGGCCTTTTAGTCCGTATTGGCTTGTCTTAGTTATTGAACAGAATCAAAACATTCCATTTTTCTATAAAACCAAGATAATTATGAAAAAGTAGTTTTTCATATCAACTGATCTATTGAGGCTTATGTTCAGCAGAACCTACTTGGTAAGTTTAAACTGGGGATGGAAACAGGTCAGGATACTAACAAAATGAAATAAACTGGTTTTTTTTGTTTTGTTTTGTTTTGTTTGTTTGTTTTTTGAGATGGAGTCTCAGTCACCAGGCTGGAGTGCAGTGGTGCAATCTCAGCTCACTGCAACCTCTGCCTCCCAGGTTCAAGCGATTCTCCTGACTCGGCCTCCCAAGTAGCTGGGACTACAGACGTGCGCCACCATGCCCAGCTAATTTTTGTATTTTTAGTAGAGACGGGGTTTCACCATGTTGGCCAGGATGGTCTTGATCTCTTGACCTTGTGATACGCCCACCTCAGCCTACCAATGTGTTGGGATTACAGGCGTGAGCCACCGCGCACAGCCAATAAACTCTTCTTTAACCTGCCTTATGCAATAAAGTCCCTGTGCCCCAAAGTTGTCTTAGAAAAGACAGCCTAAGTAGTTACTGTGCTTTGGACTTCACAGCCCAAGTACATCACACCATCAATATCCTCTTTAAAAGCCGGGAGTGAGGTTTTATAAAAGTATGCTTTAAACAAATGGCAGCAGGAAATTCAAAGTTGGGTAATTCATATTGCTGCTATAATTTGTTTGCACCTAAAAAGAAAAATCGTAGAAAATGAAGCATCATTGCCTGCAGGTACAGACACGTATGGTGTCTGAGATCATTGTTATTCTCTTCCTCTCATTTTTCTCCCATATCCTCTTAATGGAATAATTACATTATTGTAATTTACTTGTATATAATTCAGGCAAGCTAAGCACAACCAATAATATGTTTCTTCAGAGGAAAAAAACCCAAACATAATAATTAAAGAATAAATTAGTTACTGTAAGTAGCAAGTATTCCAGGTTTGGGGAGAAAGTGTAGGAGATGATCCCCT
Organism: Homo sapiens; assembly: GCF_000001405.40. Classification (NCBI taxonomy): domain Eukaryota; kingdom Metazoa; phylum Chordata; class Mammalia; order Primates; family Hominidae; genus Homo; species Homo sapiens. The sequence goes on from NC_000001.11 coordinate 240,927,886, forward strand.
CAGAAATGGACACCAGTGGATGGTAACATGTGTGGGAACAAGAGTGATTCCATCTTGGATGCTAATCTGCCATGTTGGCTCCTGATTAACCCTGAGTCTGGGAATGCCTCCAAGGTGTCTAGTTGATGATTTACTCTCTATGTAGAAACACTTATTTACTCTGAGTTACACCTTTCCTCCACAACAACCCTTGATCTTGTTGCATACATTACCCGTAGCTGTAACACCCATAGCATTCTCTCGGCCACCCACTCATTCCTTCCAGAGCAAATATACTTTTCCTCCAGGATATATAAACCCTGGGTCTGGAAGGTTGTAGTGCGAAGGCCTACCTTTCTTGTGGCCACCCAAGACCACGCTTCTGTCTGTAAGTTCCCCAATAAATCACCCTTTTCCAACACACTGGATTTTTCTGCTCTGTTCTTTGGTTTCTTGGCTCCTTCTGTATTTGGTGGACACTTCGCATATATGACCCTTTCACGGAACAATGTGAAACTTAAACATGCAGCATTTTGGGACGATCTACTTTAAGAGATGTTCTGTAAATGATCTGCTGTGTAGGCCATGACATTTCCTCAGGCTCACCACTGAAACATCAACCTACTATAAAATGATAAAACATGTGCTTTAAATGTGAGCACTCTAACATATTTATGAAAGATGACACAACAGATGGGCAGAAAGAAACACTGAGAATGGGAATTTTATTTTCTTTATAATTTTTTTTTTTTTTTTTTTTTTTAGACGGAGTCTCACTCTGTCATCCAGGCTAGAGTGCAGTAGCACGATCTTGGCTGACTGCAACCTCCATTTCTCAGGTTCAAGCGATTCTCCTGCCTCAGCCTCCCAGGTAAGCTGGGATTACAGGCACGCCCTACCACACCCTGGCTAATTTTTGTATTTTTAGTAGAGATGGGGTTTCGTCATGTTGGCCAGGCTGGTCTCAAACTCTTGATCTCAGGTGATCTGCCCGCCTCAGCCTCCCAAAGTGCTGGGATTATAGGCGTGAACCACTGTGCCCGGCTGGGAATTTGCTTTTCAACAGGGAAAAGAGGCAGTGTATCTGCCAGGCAATAATGATGACAAGCACAAAACACTAATTTCAATGTATTGAGTATGTGAGAGGACCAATACTAGTTTCCTTAGCTGTATTAATTTGAATTATTTTAACAACTTTAGGAAGTCAATATGATTTCTGTTTGAAAAGTGAGCAAACTTAGGCTCAGAGATATTGCACGCCTAAAGTCACACAGTTGGTATGTGGTTATGACAGTATTTATGTTCAGGTCTGTCTGCCTCCAATGCCTGGGTTTTTCTCTATGAGCTCCCTCTTAGCTGTTCCAGTGTTCCTCCACTAGAATTTCATATTCTTTAGTGAGACAATCTCCAGGCATTATCCTAGCTTGAATAAAATGCTCCAGAAAGTTCTCCAACTCAAATCTACAAATCAGTAGTCGTTTTGTAAAATAACTTCTTTCTCCAAGGACCTCAGTTTTGAGGAATGTGTGCCCTGGATGAAGAAACTGGCATTCTCACTACTGGAAAGAAATAATTTTGTCTCCGTATTAATTTTTCGGTATTCTGGTTTTTAGATTTTTTTTTCATGAGTTATGTTAGTTTCGACTCTTTTGACTAGAGCCTGACCATTCTTGGATGATCGACTAAATTCAAGTTTCTGAAATGACACACATGAGAGATAGCTTTATTGATTTTCTATGAATTTTCTTATTTTTTCTTCTTATAAAAATGTCTCTCCAGGAGCAACACCAAAGAAAGCCAAGCTGCTGCAAAGCTTCTCACTGCCTTTGTATATTATGCCAGCTCCTCTACCTCAAACGCTTGCCCTGCCTTCTCATCTGAAAAATCTTTCCTCTTAAGATCCAGCTCAAATGGTACCAGTTCTCTCGCAAAATCATTCTGGAAGACCCCAGGGAAAGTCAATTTCTCATTCTTTTAAACATTCACATAATTTTGCATATATCACTCTCCTATTCACTTGACACTCTACAGTAACTCCTTCTGTATAATCCTATTTTCCCATCTAGCCTGTGAGCTACCCAATGGTGTCAATGAACTCAGTCCCCTTTGCGAACCTAGCATCTTCTACTGCACTGGCATAGGAAGAAAAATACTCAATAAACACTTGCAGAAATGACATTTAAAAACCATGCAATCTTGTCTTTGAAAACTGTACTGTTCAGGAAGATCTAAGAAGATGAATACTTACTAGGGGCTCTTTTTCTCCTTGAAGAGCTTGAGTGAAATAATGGCTGTTGAACCAAGTTTGTTCTAAGTTCACTGAACTTGATTTATTAGCATTGAATTTTCTTTTTTAGCTTTTTTTTTTTTTTTTTTGCTTGTAATTGGCCTCTTCATGTTTAACACAACCCTCCACCTATAAAAATCATAGGATACTTCACAGAACAGTGAGAAAAGCGGACCCTTGGGACGTCAAGGGACTTACTAAAAAGCACACAGCTAAGTGGGAGAGTTGAACTAGAACTCTGGTTCTATGGGTCTATTTTTTATTCTTTCTAGTAGGCCAGGTTGCTATGACAAAACAATAACCCCTTTAAGCTTATTTACAGCTCTTTAACCTAATCAGAAGGCTTTCTTTAATAGTTGCAGAGGGCACCATACCACAGAGAAAGTTGTCACGAGGTCTGGTGACTTTCCAAACAAAGCCGCTTATCAATTCAATGTTAAAAATATTGGTCCCATCCTGAGAACTGTGGTTTCCTTTTCTTAATGAAAAAAGCAATAAAACGCAAGTACACATCCATCTACACATACAGGCTGTCAATAATAAAATAATGAGAGATGGCACTGACCATAATCTGTGTTTTCCGGCTCCCAACAATTTGATGGCCAAAAATAGGGGGTCTGCGGAATGAAAAGAAGTGGAACCCAGATTAGACAAATAAAAAATTAGTGGAGTTTCTGGCCAGTGAATTACATTTATCTTCCACAATTCTCTATATTAGTTTGCTATATGTTTTATAATACAGAACATGTTCCAAGAGAGACATTGAAAACTCTTTGTCTACATGTACTTTGCTGACCAATTGCTCAGCTTCTAAACATGTGTAGTACCAGCAAGCAGGTATTTAGAATGTCATCCCTTTGCTGTAATTTTACACCAACTGACATAAAGGCAAAAAGGTCTGATTGTATATTCAAGCAAAAAGTATTCATCCACAGAGAGGACTGAAAGAGTATGTTCGGCAAGACTCAGGATGAAATATATTTAAATATAACAAATTGTTTTCTATGAATCATGTATTTCAACACTGCTTTTGGTAGCTCCAAAAAGCTCAACCAACCGATAGACTCTTTCTCTGAGATCTGACAATGATTTGCCTGGCTCCATTAGTCATATAATTCAGTTCTCAGCATTGTCCAATGAGATTAAAGCAACTTTTTACTCTCACTTTTAAAGACATTTCCTAAATTCCTCTTGTAACTAATTTCTACCATTTAGTCGTGCAACAGGGTGACTCGAGTCAATAGTAACTTAATTATACATTTAAAAATAACTAAGAGTGTAACTGGATTGTTTGTAACACAAAGAATAAATGCTTGAGGGAATGGAGATCCCATTCTCCATGATGTGATGACTCCACATTGCATCCTTGTATCCAAACACCTCATGTATTCCATACGTATAAACACCTATTATGTACCCACAAAAATTAAAATTATAAAATTTAAATTAAAAAAACCTACAAAAAATAAATAAAAATAGAAACATTTCCTTACAAAGACACTTGTTTCTCTAAAGTTTTAAACTGCACAAATCAGAGATTTTTTTTAAAGGAATAGTGTCTTAATTGAGTGATACAATCTGCAATAGGCAGAATCCAGATTCTGTAGAATCTAGAAACTGACTGACTAAACTACAAAGAAAATGTCTGACCGAGAGAAACTTTATTATTATCATTAACATTTATATTTTCTAAAAGGACTTTCCTAGCCCTGCTAGCTGAACATGCTTGGCTCCTGACCACGAAGAAACCTGATGATCACCTGTCTCCTTATCAACCCCTAGTCCCTGGAATGATGAGGCCTGCAGGACTCACTGTAACAGTGATGGCAAATATCAGTACTGTGGGCTTAATTCTATCTGTTAGCTAATTACACTAACTACCATGTGCAATAAGCATATTTGGAGTCATCTCTGATTATCTGATCATTTTCCCCTCTAGAAGAGAGACTCTAAAGAAGGGAAAATGGGTAGATAGGGAGAACTGTTTGAATCTCTACAGAAAAGTCTTTCCAAACTGTCTCAGAGGCCCCCCCGACTACCATCACCCAGGGATTTCAACTTACCCTCCGTTCTTTCTTGGGAATTACAGTAGTAAAATAAAGAAGGCTACTAACAGTAGTTTTGTGAACATGAGAACAAAATCATCGTAGGAATTCTGAAGAAAGAAAAAAAGACTAAACTGCTAGACAAAAGAGGATAGTAAGACTTTATGTGGGTCACCCTTATCACCCCAATCTCACTTGACTCCATAGGAGATGAAGCTTTGAGAATTCGATTTCTTAAAAATAAAATTGAATCAGGATTCTAGGATAGCCCTAGGGGGACAAAGTAGTTAAAACTTTGCTTTCATGTAGGGTGTCACTTTTTTTTTTTTTGAGACAGGGTCTCACTCTGTTGCCCAGGCTGGAGTGCAGTGGTGCGGTCTCAGCTCGCTGCAAGCTCCGCCTCCCGGGTTCACGCCATTCTCCTGCCTCAGCCTCCCAAGTAGCTGGGACTACAGGTGCCCGCCACCACGCCCAGCTGAGTTTTTGTATTTTTAGTAGAGACGGGGTTTCACCGTGTTAGCCAGGATGGTCTCGATCTCCTGACCTCGTGATCCGCCTGCCTCGGCCTCCCAAAGTGCTGGGATTACAGGTGTGAGCCACTGTGCCCGGCCTAAAAACGATTTTCTGATATGCTATTTCTTAGGTTTTATAAGAGATATATTTCTACTTTGGTATCTTTCTTTTTTTTTTTTTTTTTTTTTTTTTGAGACAGAGTCTCGCTCTGTCGCCCAGGCTGGACTGCAGTGGCGCGATCTCGGCTCACTGCAAGCTCCGCCTCCCGGGTTCACGCCATTCTCCTGCCTCAGCCTCCCGAGTAGCTGGGACTACAGGCGCCCGCACCACGCCCGGCTAATTTTTTGTATTTTCAGTAGAGACGGGGTTTCACCGTGTTAGCCAGGATGGTCTCCATCTCCTGACCTCGTGATCTGCCCCCCTCGGCCCCACAAAGTGCTGGGATTACAGGTGTGAGCCACCGCGCCCGGCCGGTGTTACTTTCTGAGATGCTTCTTACGGAGTGCATTGTTCCCTCTGGGTAGTTTCTATATTTTGGGGAGTATATATGTGTATGTATAGGTGTGTGTGCAGGCATATCTATTTATCTAACCTTAAAATACCTATTCTACTCAGACAAGACATATACTTTTTTCCCACAAAAGCACAAAAAATATTCTCAACTGCATTCTTATATTTTTCTTCATTCTCCATCATTTACTTTAGTGAGAATTTAATGACTGTAAAATTAAAGCATAAAGTAATTTTTTCTTGTGATATTATGTGGAAATGCCACTAAACCAATGTTCTTCACTAATATGGAAGATTTTTTCTAAGAAGTAGTGTTTTGATCTGTAGTAAACGATAATATAGGAGAACAACAAACTCTTACAGTTTTTTTTGGAATTTAAATACATACTTTCATAGTTCTACCATACATTAGGACATTTTAATGCATGAGTTTCTTGATTTTTCAATATTGGCTTCCTTAGCTAGGATGAAACTCATCCAAAACTGTTCAACTGTTGTTCAATAACTGTTGGAGCATATACTAATGTATTGAAAGTCATGAAAGAGAGCTAAAGAATTACATCAGATCTCATTTTCAGTTAGCTAAGAGAGGATGATTAGACAATTGTGACTTTACGGTAAATTTAAAAAATCACATGATTAAGACATGTACTACAAATTTGAGACAAATATATAAACTGTCATGCCAATGAAATAAAGATTTCTGTTTATCTCAAATTAATGCTTTGAAGACTCTTTAGATTTTTTTATTATTATTATTTTGAGATGGAGTCTCGCTCTGTCACCCAGGCTGGAGTGCAGTGGCACCATCTTGGCTCACTGCAACCTTCGCCTCCTGGGTTCAAGCAATTCTCCTGCCTCAGCCTCCCAAGTAGCTGGGACTACAGGCACGCACCATCACATCCAGCTAATTTTTGTATTTTTAGTAGAGATGACGTTTCACCATGTTGGCCAGGATGGTCTCAATCTCGACCTCATGATCTGCCCACCTCTGCCTCTCAAAGTGCTGGGATCACAGGCGTGAGCCACTGCGCCCAGCCTAGATTCTTAATGATGGTTAGACTCCCAATCATTCACTGGAGGATTTGTAAACACGGCATCCCAACTTTTCTACTTTAATTTATGATTTTAAAATATCCTTCCAAGGAGTTGAATTTCACTTCGGTGTAATAAAGAACTTTCGCTGCTTGGAACCAACGTAAAAACAGAAGTGAAGACCTTGAATAATAATTTGTTTTCTATTATTGGAACTCTTCAAATATGGACTGGTTAATGACTTGGTAGACATTATAGTAGAAATTCAGTTACCTCTGAGTTTTCTGGTGTTTTTTAAAATCTTGGTTTCAGAACTCTAATATTATTAGATTTACAAATGTGTTTGTTATATTTAGATACTATTTCAAATATGGATGCATCATTAAAATATGTAACATTTACTATTTAGCACTAATGTAATTTTAATGTGTATATGTATAGATAGTTTATTTTATATCTGCCTATCTATCTCAGCACACTGAACTTGACAACTCTCTGTCTATCCCTAGTAGTTACATAATTCATATGTCATTTGTACCCATTCCCTTGCTTTGTTCTAAAGCTCTTTTAAAAATTCTCTCCTTTTCTCCTGTGTGTATGGTGATCCCTTCCTTCACATGGCTTTTTTTTTTTTTTTTTTTTTTTTTTTTTTGAGACTGAGTCTCGCTCTGTCGCCCAGGCTGGAGTGCAGTGGCACAATCTCGGCTCACTGCAACCTCCATCTCCCAGGTTCAAGCTATTCTCCTGCCTCAGCCTACCAAGTAGCTGGAATTACAGGCACATGCCACAACACCCAGCTAATTTTTTTTGTTTGTTTTTTTTTTAGTAGAGATGAGGTTTCACCATGTTGGCCAGGCTGGTCTCAAACTCCTAACCTCAAGTGATAGCCCGCCCTGGCCTCCCAAAGTGCTGGGACTACAGGCATGAGCCACTGTGCCCGGCCTCGGTGCCCTTTTAGACCCATGAGCATGACTAAGACATGTAAACCTTGTCTGTCTACTACATTTTCTGGGAATAGAGATTTCTTTAAAAAAATCAGGAAGCATTAGTCACATAAAAACAATTTATTTGCTGATCACCAATAATTCCTAGTTATTAAAAATTTAATCTTGGGGCCAGAAGTTACTTTAATAATATGCTATTTTAAGCTACCATTAGTGTAAGTTTTGCTGTATAAAGAATAAAGCTCCATTAATGTAAAGCTTTTTTAAGTTACGTAATTTAACTAAGTGCTTGAATACTTAGGTCAGTATCACAGTTTCAGGATACAGCTTTATTTCCTCCTAGCTCTTAAGTCCAAAACTGTCCTACGATTATTTGCCTTGGAAGAAATGAGTCCAAGGAAGGGGCAGTGAGACTGTTCTATGAGGACAATAATCTTTAAAATGATTTTTTAAAGCAAATGATTAAAGTGATTTTTAAAGCATATTTCCTCTTTGTTCTCAGTTTTCCCAAACAAATTTTAGGTACTCTGATTACTATTCAGTCATTTATGTAGACATAGAGCATTTAATAATACTTAGAACAAGTGAGAAGAAGGCTCCAAAGTCTGAAAGTTGGACTGTGGGGAGAACCCTCCAGCAAATACCTCTTGGAAATGGATTAGAGTTTGACATCCAGCATTTTATGTGCCTTAATTTTACAGGCTAGAATCTGCTAATCAGTTATTAATGAGCCATAATGTCTACTGAAATGTAGAATATACTTTAGGTAAATCAATGTGAACTCAAGTGTCAAATATACTTACAATGACTGAAATCAGAGTCCACAATCATTGCCAGAAAGAATAATAGCATCTGTGTCATTTGCAAATGACCTAGAATGACTCTTATCAGTTTGCAAGTTATCTGAGGTGTCCTGTTGCAGTTGAGTGCACACACACAATATATCATCATGTCAGTCTTTACAGATTTGTAGAAGAGCCTAGGATGCTGAGAGTTTATTAATTAGCTGAATCCTATCTGGAGTTTCAAGCATTCCTGTTAAAATTTACTTGGGCTGAAGATGGTCTGGATCACAGGCAAGGGTCAGACAGAGGAAGACTCTCCGGTCCTTCCGAATGCCATTAAGTCACTTTATGAATTTCCCTTAAGCTTTTCATATAAAATAGAAATTCAATCATCACACAATTTAGCTTTCACACATCATCTTGACTAAGCATACTTTATCTTTCTCTGTGTTTATTGCTTTTTATGTCTTTAGTTTAATGTTAATCAGTTTCTAACTAGCCTAAGTCAAAGTAAAATAAGTCATAGTTTTTAAAAGTTCTGTTCAAAAGAAACCTAACTAACAAACGAAATGCGGGCTTCTAGTTTACTGTTAAAGAACATTTCTAATAAACTTACTTGAAACCGGTAAAAGGTGCCATCATCCTTGAGTGTGAGGACATGATCTGAGATTGGAAAGAAGTAGCCGTGGGCAGCCATTAATGTTCCCAAATGGAGCGCCTCCACTGTTTTATGAAAACAAACAAAGAACATAAAAAAGCCTTTTAAATGTATTCTTTTATAGGAATGTAACGTTTTTGTGTGGTTCCTTTTGTCAGATACAGTAAGTTCCTCTTGAAAGATTTAATTTCTGACTTCCTTGTTCTTTGCTCTCGAGATAAACTTCCTTGTCCCTTCTCCTAAGCTACCTGCTCTGTAAACAACTTCTCCTACCAGTCCCAGTCTGTAACTCACATCTCTTCCTTATTTGGAAACAGTCCTCCTTTACTCCTGGCTACCCATTCTGTAAACTGCCCCTCCCACTGAAACAGGTCTTCCAGCCAAAACTACACTTCCTGCCTTTGCCGTGCCCTGACATGCCCAAACATGCCTTGTACCGAAACGGACAGCCTCTCCCTTCCCACCTAATTAGCCATATTCAATTTTAAACAGTAGCCAATCGGGTCAGTTTAGATTGTGTGGTACGACTCCAGCCAATGGGGACAGGACACAGAAGCAGGGACTAATAGCGTTAGGGATAAAAACCCCTTCCCTCCTTTGTTCGGTGTGCTCTCGCAGTGGCCAGAAGTGCGAGTGGCACCCTTCTGCAGAAGTAAATTTGCCTTGCTGAGAAATCCTTTGTTTGAGTGCTCGTTTTCCTTGCGACTCCCAGCTCTTGTTTCTAACACTTTAGAGTACATTCTTGGCATTCTGAAAACCTGGCTTTGTGCTTTTTCTTCTTTTTTCAGCTCTTTCTCACAAGACACTAAGATGGTTCTAGTTCCTGGTAGCAACTGCCATGACCAACCTCATCCAATGACAACAAGTCCATGAGAAGATAAAGTTAAGAAACATTAAAATGGGAAGGCTCTTCTCAATCTGTAGAGTATGTCTCCCTCATTTTATAGATGTGTGTTGGCCCATGTGATAATGTTCTCTCACAGGCAGTTGCATTTGGCATTTATAGCACTTTAAACTTTTAAAAGTTTTCACTTGCATCACCTCATTCTCAATATCATAGCAATCTAGTACCATCAGTAATGTTTCTAATGATATGGACCATTATTTTGTGATGCTATGAGGGAATGTTAAGGCATCAAGGACCATGTATGCTGCACTATTGAATCTACAGACTGGTGATTGTAAAGATTGTTCTAGCTTTTACTATTCTATACAGTGTTCTAAATATGGAGTAGGAAGAGATTTATTGGACAATGTAAACATATAGTCTGAAACTAAGGCTGTAATACTCATACTGTTTATAGCTGCCAACAATTTCTTCCAACAAAAGGGTTAGTAAAATTTGGTCAATAGTTATTACTGCGTTTGTGCAGAGATGACATAAAGTTTTCTAACTTAAAGGCTAGAAAATATGAAATTATGCAAAATAGTTTTCTACCCCAACAAAAAAAATATATGTACAGTTGTCCCTTGGTATCCTCAGGGGATTGGTTTGAGGACCTGCACAGATACCAAACATCAAGGATGCTCAAGTTCCCCACTTTGCCCTCCCACATCTGTGGATTTTTGATCATGGGTGGTTGAATCCACAGATGTGGAAGTCATAAATAGAGAGGGCCTACTGTATGTAGAAAATACCAGAAAAGTTAGATTTATTTATCTGTTTATGTATCTTTATGTATAATTCATTTATAAATTTATTTCTGTTTCTTAGTCAAGAAGCTAGGATTCTTACAGCAGTTCTAGGACAACATGGATCTATCTATATCTCCAGCCATCAACCATGGGGAGCTTTTACACCTCAGTTAAGAACTGAGTAACTAAGTAGCTAGCTATGGTACAGCAAAGCATAAGAATCCCATCCTTTTACCCCTTACACCTACATAAATAAACAATTTGTTGTTAAATTTTTATCTGTTTTGGGGTACTATGATGCCCCTTGAAATTGTTATCTAGCATTTTGCAAACATTTCAATTGATAACTTCTACCTCTGATCTCTCCCTGCATTGTTCTTGCCGATAATAAAGAACAACTGCCAATTATTCTTCATTCTTTGCCCTGGCTTTGGAAGACTGTTACTAACTGCTCCAGCCATCATCTCCAAACTCGCAGTCAAGTCTCTCTGTATAGAATGTTGTTTTTTGTACAGAGGAGCATTTTTTTTTCATCAATTTTGTGCGTGTGTGTGTGTGTGTGTGTGTGTGTATTTCCATCATTTCAACATCCTTTCAGTTCAAAGTCAAGGCCTTCTCAAAGCATGCATTGCTCATAGCAACATGCCTACCTATCCTTGTTAAAACTTTAGTGCCAGGGTGTCATTGTGGAAAGAACAAGAACTTTGGAGACACCCACTGTCTTCTGTTACTTTCATTCTCTGTGCCTCCCCCATCTATTAATAAAGGTCATAAACCTACCTGGCAGGATTGACGTGAGAATGACATAAGCACACTTGTAATGAAATTGGAATCATGCTTCCAGCCTAGTAGGTACTATGTATATGGTAGCTACTGTGCTTCATTATTTACACACAAAATAATTTTTACTTTTCTACAAACCACTTTCAGAGAATCTACTTCCATACATTTGCCTTCTGCTAGGTTGAGTGAATATTTCCAACACAAAAAAAACATAAAACTTTGAAGTGATAGATATGTTAATTATTCTGATTTGATCATTGCACATTTCATGTATTGAAATATTACTCTGTACCCTATAAATATCTAACAAAAGTTTTAAAAAGCTAGGCTGAGTGAGGAATCCTGACAGTCCTAAGCAGCCACGTTCATCAACATCATCTTATTCTCTTTTTTTTTGACTGTCTGTAAAATTAAAATGGTAAGAGGATCTAGAAAGATAGTTGGCCCATAACAAATGAGCAGGTGGTTATAGTCCTGGTTAAATTCTGAATCCCTAAGTACCCCTGTGGACGAGTGAAGAATATGCCATCCCAAAATACCCCAGATTGTTTCAAGTTGAAAACACTGGATGAATTGTAGTTTCAGAAAGGGCTAGCTGGCCTATCTCTTCCTATATGCAGCAAGCCATAAAGATTCCTCTGGGAGGGGTATCTTGCTTTTGCCAGGGCAAGAAAATAGCTCTTATCACCAGAGACTGGGAGTTGGGGGCTGCAATGAACCTGAATAAAGGGCTGGATGCGGTGGCTCATGCCTGTAATCCCAGCACTTCGGGAGGCCAAGACGGATGGATCAATTGAGGCCAGGAGTTCAAGACCACCATGGCCAACCTGGTGAACCCCGTCTCTACTAAAAAAAATAAAAAATAAAAAACTTAGCTGGGCATGGTGGCAGGCATCTGTAATCCCAGCTACTTGGGAGGCTGAGGCATGAGAACCACCTGAATTCGGGAGGTGGAGGTTGTAGTTAGCAGAGATCACGCCACTGCACTCCAGCCTGGGCGACAGAACAACACTCTATCTCAAAAAATTAAATTAAATTAAATTAAGAAATAAACTTAATCAAGTAACCCCTACTTTCCACTAGTTTTATGCCCCCAATATATTCCCTAGTGATTCTGCTAGAAAATTTACTGCCTTCAGCCAGATTTTCTTTGTTCTGTCATTTTTTTCTTAAATTTATTATTGTTTGTCTAAAAAGTATAGAAGTGTCTTGCTTTGGCCATTTCTTCAGACTTCACACTCTTGTGAAGATCCCCATGTACATGTAAAACTAATAAAATGTGTATGATTTTCTCTATTAATCTGCCTGGTATCCACCTGGTCTCCAGATCCACAGAAGAGCTTAGGGGGGTTGCAGATGATCTCTGACTTCCTTACACCTGTTAGGGAATATAGGGTGGGGCAACATGTAACATCCTTTGTAGGTGGCCCATCTGTCTTCGTATAGCCATCTTTATTATTTTAGTCCCAGCAGTCTGTGGCCTGGGAAGATAGTGTTAGCACACTTTCCCGGAAGAAAAATTAAGTTACGGCACATAAGGAAATCTGCGGAGTATAGATACAAGAAGGGAAAACTGAGATGCCCAGGAAGATAGACAGTAAGAGGAGCTTCTGAGTTCTAAGCATAGGAAAGAGTGTGACTAAAACCAAGCCAAGGAACAACAAAAAGCAATTGGGTGTTAAAGTGTTGATGAGGATTAGAAAAATAGAGTGAAAGTAAATATAGAGATGCTACAAAAAAGAAAAACAGAAGTGAGTGATCATAAGACTATTCTTGACTCCTGCATCTCATTAACTACTAATTTACAAGTTATATACTTATAGAGTGCAAAGTGTATGTTGGCAGGTTCTTCTTCATGTAATACTACCATAATTAGTCATTAATAAATGCTTGCAAATGAGTATGAGTGAATTAGTAAAATTCTCCTTCCTTTTTTGAGGTACAATATTTTCATTTGATTTGATGATATGCATTCTCATTTTACTTCTCTTCTGAGTGATACTTATGTTCCATAATTTTACAATTAAGGAAAATTTGTTTTGATACTTTTGCATCATGTCATGAATTTAGTAGAAATATACTGGTGGTGATACAGGTAAGACCTAGATTTAATTTCTATGTGAGTCACACACATTTCATATGTCAAGGTGAAATCAAACCTTTTGACTTAATAGTTAAGAGGACTGATCTTCTCACAATGCTTACAAATGGTTTTAAGATTTTTGGTCAAATAGTAATCTAGAGGTACTGAAATAATAATAGATATTTTGTGTTCATTACAGGATCTCCAGAAAATATAGCTCCAGAGCAGGATAAATGCCTAGATGAAAAATCAGAAAGTTGGGGTGAATTTTTTGCTTCATTTAGGATGACAAGTTTAGCACTCAGCATATCCATGGCAAAAGTAGCAAGTGAATCAATATTTGCTAAATCAATGAACAAGGACATTTATGAGTAAATGACACACCAAGAATATTAAAAACCTAACACTGCATAGAAAAACACCAGGCTAATTATTGTGTGTTATAAGCTGTTGAGGTGGGGCTATTGTAGCTATTTTGTTGTGAGAAAATATAATAGTGATATTAACAAGATAAATGCCAGTAAGAATGGACTTGGGGCAGTATTCTCAAGACAGACTTGTTTATTGTTAGGGACAAACATGGTGCCACAGTTCCCTGTGGTCCCACTGCTCCGAAATCTTAGCACCATCTTAATCTAATAAGAATCCATAAGACCGCTGACAATCTTGGAACAAAGTGTTGAAAGAGTTTACTGAGTAATCTGTCAAGATCACTCTCCCAATAACGGCACACCAGATGGCCCAGCAGCATCACGCTTCACGGCAAAATAATCGCTAATTAATCTTCTCGTACATGTGTTATTCTCTTCACCCACACAGCTAAAGTTCAACAATAAACCTACTAAAAAATTCCAGCTTATTTTTTTGTTTGGATATTCAAGCCATGAGCAAGCTGAGAAACAAAAATCAATCTCCAAACACCTCTGATTAAGTGAACAGCCTAGAACAGCTTTGTTAAGCCTGATACCAACATAGGATGATTTCACCCCAAACTCTAAAGGAATGGTATTATCAACATCCTCGGATAGCGAAGAGAATTCTCCACAGCATAATTTGCTTTTGACCACAACGATTTCAAAAAGTTAACAGGATGAAAACCACAGTATAAAAGAGGCTTGTGGAACTCCAGGGGTGCAATCGGTTAGCTCACGGTGCTTATAAAAGAGGCTTGAGTACTTGAGTGTAAAGTACTCTATATTTACAATGTAATTTTAAAACTCAGTAATATTTTTCTTACCCAGAGGCTCAACTTCTTGCAGCCTCCTCTTCTTTTAAATACAGCTCATAATTTTGCAACGATTAATAAAATGCCTCTGAGTCAAGAAAGTAATTTAAAAACTTCACTGAATCCTGTATTTTTATCACTATCATGTTATTTACTCTTATTTATGTGCATGTATTAACATTTTTTTCATTTCCAACACAGTATAAGTATCAGTAGTGTGTGGGGAGAAATATTTTAAAAGAAAATCTAAAAAGAAAAAAGATGGCAGCTGATTATATTAAGGAAACAGAGATGCTAAAATGAAGACAAAGGTAAGTTACTTAATGATAAAATAACAGGTATTCATCAGGACAATTCTGAGCCATAAAAAGAAGATATGTTAGACTTGTTACTTTCTGTTTAAGAAGACATGGAAGTGGTCATTTTAGAAATCCTTCAAAATATTATGCTTTATTTTTTAGAACTGGCATTTGGAAAGGTAAGATTATTCATGTAGAAAAATCTCATATGCGGAACATTTTATTCTCCAACAAAACCAAGTAAAAATGGACTATTACCATATTTAGAAATTTCTGAAGTAAGTTTATTTTCTCAACAGTAGGAGTTAGTAAAAGAAGTACCTCAGCTTTCATCTTTTTAAAAAAAACATCATTTGCATGTAAGAAAAATCAAGTGCCGCTTTCTCAACAGCAATCATAATTCGGGATAGAGAAGTGAATAATAAGGTGACATAGAATAGATAAGCTAAAAGAGATTCTATTTGGGAGAAATAAAAACAGAATCATAATTTATATCAACATTGAGGAATGCAATAAGAAATTAATATAAGTAAACGCTATTTCCAAAAAAGGAGCAGAGTACAAAGGCTATGCCAGTCCCCTGCCTAGGTTCACATCCCGGGTCCCTCATTTGCTGGCTGTGTGACCTGAGCAAGAGACTTGGATTCTCTGGGCCTTGGTGCCCTCATCTGTAATCATCTGTAAGAAGTTGACAAAATAATAATGCCAAAGATTAGCAGTAAGGATCCATTGAGATAATATGCACAATGCACTTAAAACACAGTCTACCACACAGACATGCTCCTGAGATGAGAGTTATTATCAGTTGATACTTATGAAGTGTCACATTCAGGAGCACTTAATCTAGTTTAAGGGGCGATGGGAAACATTAGTAGCTAGTGTTGCTCTGGGTTTCCCAGTCATGTTAAACACTTCCAATTCAACTCTATTTTAAACGCCCCAGGTGATCAAACCAGAGTGTTTTGTGGGCTGAAATATGCCTATGTTTTTCCCTACAGCAAAGAACACTAACAAAATCCCAAAAAGAAATTAGGGACAAACTTATTATATATCACAGGGATAGCCACAGATTTCCAAAGGCGGCATGCTCCACACGCTAGGTTTACAAAACCATACTGTGAATACCAGATGCCAATGAGAGACCTGCCTGCTTTAGAGGAGGACTGATGTGAGGACACCCTGAACCTGACAGTAGAAGAATAACAGGGACAGAGAGAGCACGGGGACAGCAATCAGAATGGGAGATGAATTCTTAGGGAAGCATAATATTTGCCTAGGACTAAAAAAAGAAAATCGACATTAAAATAATAAAGCAATTGGCAGTGAGAGCAACAGATAATCATAAGTCAACGATCTTTTTTACACACACAGAGTAGACCAGTCTAGATGTCTAATGGCAGTTATGACATCTTAGGCATTCTGCATAGATGAAAAATCATGCTGAAATTTGAAAAAATGATCCATGTAATACTGGTGTGAATAACTGGTTTCAGATCTACATTATACAGCCTATATGATATTAGCATGTTCATTCCCCAGATTTAGATAGGTAGTTCCATCAGCCAATCCTTTAACAAGATTCTGTTATATTATATGTGTGTGTGTGTGTGTGTGTGTATATATATATATATATATATATATATATATATATATATATATATATATATGTTAGGTGCATAGAATAGTATTCAGATGAGATAAAAATCATGCTTACTTCATCTAAGTACAGTGTGAGGAAACCATCACAATGGCAAGGGCCAGGGCAGTAATAAATTACAGTGGAAAACAACATTCCATCTAAAATTCAGTATACATTCTGCAAAATTTCCATTAGTTAATCTGGCTGAATGAGCTGGAAGAAAGTAGGGCACTGAATTAACTTTTTAGTAGGCAGAGGAGTTTCTACAGCATGTATTTCTTCAAATCAGAGAGAGCACACACTGCCAAACAAGCACATGTGGAAATCATGGGAAAAAAAGGCTCAACTGCAAGTCATGGGGCTTAAATTCTAATCCTAGTGCCTGTAACTGCATGTCAGGAGTAAGTCACTTCCTTTCTTTTGTTTTGAGATGGAGTCTCACTTTGTCACCAGTCTGGAGTGCAGTGGCGCGATCTTCGCTCACTGCAACCTCCGCCTTCCAGGTTCAAGCGATTCTCCTGCCTCCGCCTCTCAAGTAGCTGGGACTACAGGCATGCGCCACCACGCCCGGCTAATTTTTGTATTTTAGTAGAGACAGGGTTTCACCATGTTGGGCAGGATGGTCTCTATCTCTTGACCTCGTGATCTGCCTGCCTCGGCCTTCCCAAGCATTGGGATTACAGGCGTGTGCCACGCATCCAGCCAAGTCACTTCCTTTCTTAGAGCTGGCATCTGTAAATGCAGCGGGGATCACTAAAGACTTTTTAGTTCTGAGTCCATGACAAGATGTGCAGTCAAAACACTAGCTAGAAGTTGTGGCAGAGCAGCCGCCATCCTTATTTTTGCCTCCTTGTGTCAAAGGGAAATGGATTTTTCTTTATTTCTCAGACATTCTTGCCATTGCCCATGTCCCAATACTCTAACACGAAAGAGAAAAATAGCCCAATACGAAATATAAAAGCTGATTTTAATTTCAGTTGCTTATAACTCAATCCTGATGATTCTCAAGGGCTGCTATAGTATAGAGTTTTTGTACACAGAGCAAATGAATGCTTATTCCAAATAGGAACTGGTTTTATGAGTGTGTTCTATTTACACATTTTCAAAAACTAGTTGTAAAAACGCACACATGTCTTGGGATTAGCCAATAACACATCCCATGTGCCAAAATATCCTGAATGCATTTTGTTTGAAAATCAAATATCACTCCTAAGGAATAAGCAATATAGTCTTCTCATAATACCTGTTAATGGTATCTCTTTTAAAAATCACTATTCCTTAATATTTGAACCATAATGAATGATAAGTCTAATTTCAAAGCCACAGGCTTGGTCACTGAAACAGTCACAGTTTTTATGAAATTTCAAAACAAAATCAGTGGAATGCACTTTTATCTGTATTTTGCAGAAACAAATGCTTGAATTGAGAAAAGTGTGTAGGACGTCAGGACTGATGTTTGCAACTTTTGAATAATCTTTACAGCAAAGTATCATTTTAAAAATCCTAGTTTATAAAAGCACATGTATTTATCAATTTTTATTTTTAAAATCTCTGTGTGTATATGTTGGTGTATGAGTTTTAGTAACTAAAATAATCTGAAAATAAGAATTTTAGATT
Source organism: Homo sapiens (assembly GCF_000001405.40). Lineage (NCBI taxonomy): Eukaryota > Metazoa > Chordata > Mammalia > Primates > Hominidae > Homo > Homo sapiens. The sequence continues at coordinate 240,945,923 of NC_000001.11, forward strand.
TTAGAATACCTAAAATCTAATACACAAGCTTTCCATGAACCTACTGGATAGAGATCATCTTTCTCAAAATTAGTTTGGAAACTAGATATGGGTAAATTTGTTAAATAAGATGTATTAAAACATTTTTTCTGTTTGCTGTTTTAAAACCAGCACAGTCTTTCATAAACAATTTGATTGTAATTTTAAATACCACAATTAAAATTATAACTACTGCCTAACAATAACAATGAGGCAGGTTCAGAATCCATAATGAGTAAATTCAGATGAGTTATTTAAAGTATTAACAACTCCCCTCAAAAATCCCCCCCTCTTTTCTTCACCATTCTGCTTGCTAATTTCACTATTTTTTGTAATTAGCCAGAATTTAAACATCAGATGTTTTTAAAGAATTAAAATCAGGCTGGGCATGGTGGCTCACACCTGTAATCCCAGCATTTTGGGAGGCCAAACTGAGAGGATTGCTTGAGACTAGGAGTTCGAGACCAGCCTGGACATCATAGTGAGACTCCATCTCTACAAAAAGTTTCTTAAAAAATTAGCAGGGCATGGTGGTGCACACCTGTGGTCCCAGGTACTTGGGAGGCTGAGGTGGGAGAATTGCTTGAGCCCAGGAATTTGAGGTTGCCATTAGCCATGATCATGCCACTGCACTGGGTGACAGAGTAAGACCCCCTCTTTAAAAAACAAAAATTAAAAAAGAATTAAAATCAATTAGCCTCCAAGAAAATATGGTTTCATAAGGTTCTTTTAATAAAGTACATAGTGAGACAGCTTTATTTCCAGAATTCAAATAAATTCTAGGGGAGGTGGGGGACTGGGACAGGCTGGTCAATGGGTACAAAATTACACTTAGGCAGGAAGAATAAGTTTTGGTGCTCTATTACACAGTAGGGTGACTATAGCAAATAACAATGTAGTGTATATTTCAGGATAGCTAGAAGAGGAGATTTTGAATGCCGTTACCGCAAAGACATGATAAATGTTTAAAGTGATGGATACGGTAATTGCCCTGATTTGTTCATTATATTATATATACATGCATTGAAACATCACATCATACCTTATAAATATATACAACTATAAGGTGCCAATTATAAATAGGAAAATAAATTCTAGATGCTGTAGGTGATATTAACAAGAAGAAATGTCTGGAGCCTCAGTGGATCAGTAATCTTGGTGGACAACACACACATGCCCCCTGGTGGGAAGAGTACTGCATTATATGGGGCAATGGTTATGAGGCTGGCCTTTGAGCCAGACTGCCCTGGCCCCGTTGCATCTTAGCAGTTCTTTAGTCTTCAAAATTCAAATTTTTACCATTTTCATTATGTAATAAGCTTTCCTATAAATGTGATCATCATTCTTAGAACACGTATCTTCAGACTGGCTTCTCTCCTAAATTCCTGTATGGTATTCTGAACAGCCTTTGTGACATCTCCACGTGAATATTGAATAAACATCTCAAATTCATCATGTCAAAATTGAATTGTTGGCTTTCATCTGAAACCCACTCTTCTCGCAGTTCTTCTCACCTGAGTTAATATCAGTGACTTTCATTCCACTGCTCGGACCAAAAAGCTTGGATCGTCTGATGTCTTTCTCCCATTCACCGACTCCAGTCCAGAAGCACCTTCTGATGATCCTGTTTTGCTGTATGTTCTTAGAATCTGCCCTCTTATCAGCCACCCACATCCACCACCTCCACCACCCCAGTCCAACCTCATATCATCCTGTGGCTGAGTCACTGCAACAACATTCAAACTAATTTCATTCACACTTTGCCCTTTGCTATGATGATTATCTTAAAACATATATTAGATCAAGTCGCTCCTGTGCAAGCCCTCAACAATTTCCCCTATTTCTCAGGATCGAAATAAAATTCCTTGTCATAGGCTTTACAAGATCTTATATGATCTGGCCACCCCAGTTACTTCTCTGTCTTCCTTTCCTATTTCCTTGCCCATCTTTACATATCCTCCTCTAGTTCACAGACCTCCTTGTTGCTCCTCAAACATACCAAGCATGCGCAGGCCTTAGGCTTTGCTAGGCTCTCTGCCTGGAATGCTCAGAACCCTTCCTCCAGAGAGCAGAACACCCCACTTCCTTCCTTCAGTTGGATTCTAGCCAAAGCCACTACATCAGAGACACCAGCCCTGACTACACTGGTGTAGAAGACCGCGTATCTTTTAGTTGGCTTTCATAAAAACCATTTTTATTTAGTACTCATCACCACTTACCATATAACATATTTACCTATTTTTTTATTGATTATTATCTTGTCTAGTGAATATTTTAAGCTCTAGGTAAGTATGGACATTTTTGTCTGTTTGCTTGGTTGGTTTTAGTGGTTTGTTTGCTTGATCTACTCTCTGACAGTGACTTAATTTCTGAGATATTGCAACCAACTAAAAAATATGAGAGCGGAAATGGATAAAAGGATCTTACATTAGTTCATAGCACAAATTCTTAGAAATAAAATAGGGGAGCCAAAAGACGCACATATTTTTTAAGTGTTGCTATTTTATTTATTTATTTATTTTTTTGAGACGGAGTCTGTGTTGCCCAGGCTGGAGTGCATTGGCGTGATCTGGGCTCATTGCAACCACCCCTCCCTGGTTCAAGTGATTCTCTGGCCTCAGCCTCCTGAGTAGCTAGGATTACAGGCACGTGCCACCAAGCCTGGCTAATTTTTATAATTTTAGTAGAGACTGGGTTTCACCATGTTGGCCAGGCTGGTCTCAAACTCCTGACCTCAGGTGATCCGCCTGCCTCAGTCTCCCAAAGTGCTGGGATTACAGGCATTAGCCACCATGCCCAGGCTATGTATGTCTATGTTTTTTAAACGTAATATTGTTCCATCTCCAGATGGCATCTGGAGATGGCATTATTAGCAATAATACATATATAGTATAACATACATATATATTATATATATATAATTTAAATTCTCACCAAAAGGGTATAAATGTGTTGGTATCCCTGTAAAGTAGTTAACCACTTGGAATTATTATTTATTTTCTCGTTCTTCATTTGCTGGGAAGAAATGGCATTTTGCTTTAATTTGACTTAACTGGAGTTATATTGAATTTTAGCTAAAATGCACAGTCTTTTAATACACAGTATGAGTGAAAGAAAAGACATTTCAAGTTGACAGGGAAGGTTTCACAAAAGGGTAGGTTAGACTAGGAATGGAAGGATTTTAGACTGTTGGTCAAGAGGGAGGTCCTTCAATTTCTCCCCAGTTCTCCTAAAAATGCTCTCTTTTCTTATTTTCTCACCTTTCAATTTTGATTTGTTTCCTAGGCTTATCTTATGTAATTAATTAATAAAAATGCATTCCCTTTTTATTTTTCAAATTCTTTGCTCCATTATTTACTCATACCAGGTTTTATTAATTTACCCTATTAGACTTCATTTCTTCAGCCATTCACCTGTCATCCATCCACCCATCTGCTATCCACTCATCCACCATCCATTCACCCATCTGCTGTCCATCTAACAGATAATTATTCACTGTCTGCTTGGTTTTAGGTGCTTAACTACAAGCCACAGATATAAAAGTGAAGGTGACACTCTCCCTCTCTCTACCCTCAAGAGACTCACAGTGACATGGAGTATCCTGTGCTTTAAAAAGCCAAGGATGGGCCGGGTGTGGTGGCTCACGCCTGTAATCCCAGCATTTTGGGAGGCCAAGGTGGGCAGATCACCCGAGGTCAGGAGTTTGAGATGAGCCTGGCCAACATGGTGAAACCCCATCTGTACTAAAAATACAAAAATTAGCAGGGCGTGGTGGTGCATGCCTGTAGTACCAGCTGCTCGGGAGGCTGGGGCAGGAGAATGGCTTGAACCCAGGAGACGGAGGTTGCAGTGAGCCAAGATAGGGCCACTGCACTCCAGACTGGGTGACAGAACAAGACTCTGACTCAAAAAAAAAAAAAAAAAAAAGCCAACGATGACTTCTGGTTTTAACTGAGACATTTAAAGAGCTTAGAAGCTGTCACTCTCATCCTTTCGACAAAAGAAAACCAAACAAGCTGAAAATCAACTATTTTTCCTGGACCATTCAGAGAAGTAAAGTTGTAGGACAAACCTCCATTCCAAAATCTGCATAGACAGGCTCATCCAGAGACATGACCAAGATCTACTTACTTGGAGCAGAAGCTTTTGGATCCATAAACTGACAGAAACATGAAAATAGCTCTTCTGACAAAGAACTTGAGACTCAGTGTGAACTAGCTTGACAATAAGGAACTCGAGGGGCTCATAGTGTTGGTGGGGAATGGAGCACATGCCTTCATGAGCTACACTTCCAGAAATCCCACCAGATTCTCATGGTGAAGATCCAAGAAAGATCCCTCATGGCTCTGGCAGAAGAGGGAAAAGTAATCATTGCGAAAAATGCCCAGAGCCCTCTCTATAACAAAGGCCTCTACCCCAAAGGAAAGACATTGTCAGACATTATTCTCACCAGGGAAAGGGCATTTCTCCAACTACAGTCCCCTCTAGACTTTGTCTCTCACCGAAGGGAGGAATAAAAGCAAACAACATTAACAGGGGCAGAGCTTCTACAAAATAGTTTGGGAAAGCTACAGCTGGGAAAGGAAGATAGTGGTGGGAGACAGGGGATCTATACTTCTGGAGAACACTTGCAAAGGTCACAGCTCCAAGGGACAGACTCTGAAATGCTGAGATTTCATTGAAATATTATATAATTCTCTCATTCCCTAACAACTATCCACCATACCTATAGGCTATGGTATAATATCAGATTACAGCTGAAAGAGCTGTTAAGACACAAACATTCTCTGAGGTGAAATACTTAGAGGAGCTCAAAGTCACAGAAGAATAAAAATAAAAGCACTAGAGGAATTTGAAGCTTCTGTCATTTATAACCACAGCAAACATTAAGCACGGTCCAAGTACTAAACCATAAATTAGCACACTAAAGGCCTGAGTTCCCATTACCTAATACAAGATGTGCAGCTTTCTTTCCTTTCTCTCTCTCTTTTTTTTTTTTGAGATGGGAGTTTCACTTTGTTGTCCAGCTGGAGTGTAGTAGTGTGATCATGGCTCATTGCAGCCTCGACCTCCCAGGCTCAAGCAATCCTCCCAACTCAGCCTTCCAAGTAGCTGAGACCACAGGCACGTGCAACCACACCGGGCTAATTTTTTTTATTTGCGGAGATGGGGTCTCACCACATTGCCCAGTCTGGTCTTGAACTCCTGGGCTTAAGCTATCTGCCTGCCTTGGCCTACCAAAGTGCTGGGATTATAGGCATGAGCCACCCTACCCAGCCATGTTCAGCTTTGAATGTAAAATTACAAGGCAGGCAAAAAAGTAAGAAAAACACAGTGTGAAGAGGCAAAACAACAATGAGAACCAAATTCGAATATGACACAGAAATTGGAATTATCAGACAGGAAGTTTAAATTGTAATTAATATGTTAGGGACTCTAATAGAAAAAGTGCAAAACATGGAAGAGTAGATGAATAATGTAAGCAGAAAGATTCTAAGAAAGATATTCGAAGAAAGAATCAAAATGAAATGTTAGAAATAATACTAAAAAAGAAATAAAGAATATCTTGCTGGGCTCATTAGCAGGCTACACAACTCTAAGGAAAGAATCAGTGAGCTTGAAGATTAACCAACAGAAACCTCAAAAACTGAAATTCGAAGAAAAAAATAACAAGGAAAACAAAAAGAACAACAATAACAAAAGCATCCAAAAACTGTGGGACAATATCTAAAAGTGTAGCATAACATAATTGGAATACCAGGAGGAGAGCAAAGACAGTGCAGCAGAAGAAATATTGAAATGATAATGGCTGAAGACTCTCCAAAATTAATAACAAATGCCACACTACACTCAGAGAGAAAGAAAAGTAAATAACAAAAAAATCTAAATCTACACATATCTTATTCTAACTGCAGAAAATCAAAGAAAATAATCTTGAAAAAAGCGAGAAAAATATCCTTACCTATAGAGAAACAAAAATATGAATGACAGTGCGCTTCTCATCAGAAACTATGTGGGCAAAAAAGAGAATACAGTGAAATATGTAAAGTGTTGAAGGAAGAAAACCCACTAACCTAGAATTTTACATCAAGTGAAATTACCCTTCAAAAGTAGAGGAGAAATAAATATTTTCTCAGACAAACAACTGAAAGAATACATTACTAGTGGGCTTGCCTTGCCAGAAAGGTTACAAAGAAGTTCTTCACAGAGAACAAATAATAATATAGACCAGAAACTTCTACATACATAAAGAAAGAAAGAACATCAGGGAAGAAATAAAGGTAAAACAAAATCTCTTATTTTTCTTATTCTTAGTTTATCTAAAATATAACTATTTGTTTAAAATAATAGTAACAGTATTAGGTGATTATAAAATATGGATAAGTGAAATGAACAACAGCAGTGTCGTAAAGGAAGAAAGGGATGAATTGGGAATATTCTGTTACAAGGTACCTTCATGGTATATGAAACAGTATAGTGTAATTTGAACATGGAGTTAGATTAATTAAAATGTATATCGTAAACTCTAGAACAGCTGCTAAAAACTTTAACAAATAAGTACAATTGATATGCTAAGAGAAGAGACAAAATGGAATTATTTAAACTGCTCAATTAAAACCAGAGTTGGCTGAAAAAGAAGGGGGGAAAAGACACAAATGAACAAATGCAATGGAGAAAATGCATGTTTTGTCCAAATGCATTGCAATACAATGAACAAAATACATACAAATATGTAAGAAGAATCCACATATATCAATAATCACCTTAAATATAATGGTCTAAATACACCAACTAAAAAGCAGAGATTATCTAAGTGGATTACAAGGAAAAAGACCTGACTATACATGTATATAATAAACTAATTTTAAATATAAAGACTCATATATGTTAAAAGGGGGGAAAAGAGATACCATGTTCACACTAATCAAAATCTTTTGAAATAGTATCTAATACAGAAGCAATATTAAGTTTAGGCAAGGCAGACTTCATAACAAGCAAGTTTATCAGGGATAATGGAAAGCATTATCTAAAGAGATCAATTCTTCAACAACAATAAATTGATTATGAAGATCACTTTTCTATTACAATCCTAAATGTGTAAGCACTTAACAACAGAATGTTAAAATACATAAGGCAAAACTAGAGAGAACTGAAAGGAAAAATAAACTCATTATTACAGTTACAAACTTCAACACCACTTTTTCATTAATTGACAGACCAAATAAGCAGCAGAAAATCAAGCAGTCAGAATATAGTTGACCTGAAAAGTACTATCAATATATAAATTGATAGTATATCAATGATATAAATTGACATTTATATAATGTTCTATCCAACAACAGCAGAGTAAATTATTCTAAAGCATACATGAAATATTCATCAAGATCAAACACATCTTGTGTCATAAAATAGATCTTAAATCTAAAAGAACAGAAATCATACAAAGTATATTCTCAGATGCAAAGGAATTAAACTAGAAATCAATAAAAGAAAGGTAGTTGGAAAGTCTCCAACTATTTGGAAATTAAACAACATAATCTTTAGTAACCCATAGGTCAAAGAAAATGTCTAAAGAGAAACTGAAAATTATTTTTAACTAAATTAATATGTAAATGCAGTTGATCAAAACAGGTGGACTGCAGCAAAGGCAGTGGTTAAAGGGAATTCATATCATTATTAAGCATTAATGCATTTATTACAAGAAAGATACAAAATTAATAACCTAAGATTATACGCTAGCAATATTAGAACCTAGAGAAAGAAGAGCAATTTAAACCTAGAGTAATCAGAACAAAAGAAATAATAAAATTACATCAGAAATCAATAAAATTGAGAACAGGAAAACAACAGAGAAAAATCAACAAAATTAAAAGCTGGTTCTTGTAAAAGGTCAACAAAATTGACAAATCTCTGCCCAGGCAAACCGTGTGAAAAAGAAAGAAGACTCAAATTACCAATATCAGAAATCAGAGAGTGGTCATCATTAAGGATCCATAGAATTAAAAGATAATAAAGGAACACTATGAGCAATACTATGCCCACAAATTTGATAACTTAGATAAAAAATGAACAAATTACTTCAAAGACACAAACCATCAAAACTTGCATAAGATGAAATGGGTAGCCTGAATAGCTCTATTTCTAGTAAATTATTGATTGAATCAATAATTAATAACTTCCCCCTCAAAAAAGCAATGGGCCTAGATAATTTTACTGGTGAATTCTATCAAACATTTAGGGAAGAGATGATTCCATTTCTCCACAATGTCTACCAGAAAATTAAAGCACAGGTATCCCTTCCTAGCTAATTGTAAAGCCAGCATTAACTTAATACTAAAGTCAGATAAATACAGGAAAGAAAAACGACAGACCATTTTCTCTTATTGACATAGAAACAAAAGTCCTTAACATATTATCAAATGGAATTTAACAGTTAATAAAAAGAATTATACACCACAACCAAAGGGACTTATTGCACATATGCAAGCCTGATACAGCATTTGAAAATCAATTAATGTAATTCACCATAGGACAAGCTAAAGGTGAAAACTTATACGATCATATCAATTTGTGACAAGAAATCATTAGACAGAATCCAAAACTTATCCATGTAAAAGAAAAAAAAACTCTTAGCAATCTAGGATCAGAGGAGAACTTTCTCAACTTGATGAAAACATCTACAAAAATACTACAGCTAACATCATTACTAATGGTAGAAACTGGACAGTTTCTCTCTAACATCAGAAATAAGGCAAGAGTGTCCTCTTTCACACTTCATTTCAACATTGTATTGGAAACTCTAGCTAGTTCAATAAGGCAAAGAAAAAATGTTATACACATTGGAAAAGAAGAAATAGTTAAAATTGCCTTTGTTTGCAGATGATTATAATTGTCTACGTAGAAAATCCCAAAGAATCTACAAAAACACTCCTGAAATTTAAAAGGTAGAATATCAAGTTTATAGGATACAAGCTCCATAAATAAAAGTTAATTGCTCTCTTATTTACCAAAAATCAACAATTGGAACTTGAATTTAACAATGCCATTCACAATAGCAGCAAAATTGGAAATAGTGATAAATCTAACAAAATATATACAAAATCTGTGAGAAAAACTACATAACACTAATTAAAGAAATAAAAGATTTAAAAATGGAGAGAGTCCATGTTCATGGACTGGAATGCTCAATGTTTTAAAGATGCCAATTCATCACAACTGAAAAACTGAACTAAAGATTCAATGCTATACCAGTCAAAATCACAGAAAGCTATTTTAAAGATACTGAAAAAATGACTGTGGAGTGCATATAAAAGGAAAAAGATCCAGAATAACCGACATAATAATGAAGGATAAAAACAAAGTTGGCTTTAGGAGGCCGAGGCGGGCGGATCACAAGGTCAGGAGATCTAGACCATCCTGGTTAACACGGTGAAACCCTGTCTCTACTAAAAATACAAAAAATTAGCCAGACATGGTGGTGGGCGCCTGTAGTCTCAGCTACTTGGGAGTCTGTGGCAGGAGAATGGCATGAACCTGGGAGGCGGAGCTTGCAGTGAGCCGAGATCATGCCACTGCACTCCAGCCTGGGCGGCAGAGCAAGACTCTGTCTCAAAAAAAAAAAAAAAAAAAAAAAAAAAAAAAACCGATTTGGAATATCCACACTGATTTCAAAACTTAGTTTCAGGCTGTAGTAATCAAGACAGTGAGTACTGGAAAAAGAACAGAGAAATATATAAGTAAAACAGAAAAGAGAGTCCAGGTATAGACCCACAGAGTCAATTGATTTTAGACAAAGGAGCAGAAACAATTCAGTAGAAAAAGAATAGTGTTTTTCATCCTTATTTGTTGTTTTAACACAACACAACCAATTGTTATGTAAAAAAGAAAGGCCTGACACTACACGCAGGTCTTATTAGTTTTCACAATAATTAACTCAAATTGTATTATAGACCTAAATGCAAAATGCAAAATCAGAAACCTACTAGAAGAAAACATAGGAGGGAATCTGTCTGAACTTGTAGCCCACGATGGGTTGTCAGGTATAGCACTAAAATCACTAGTGCAACATGACCTTACATACCAGGATGAGTTTGTAGAGATAGCACTAAAATTTAGAATTACCAGTATTACAAAATGAACCTTTATACATACGTATTTCATTCTTACCAGAACAGTGGAAACACTTGCACAAAGCTAACGCAATTGTCTTCATTTCACTTGATGCACACACTCTCTACCTTTGGCTCCCTGATGAGTAAGCAAGGGCTGGGAACAAAAGCAACAATGGGTTGCCCTATCTGCCTTTCCTGTGGAAGAGAAGCAGGAGCCAACTCCAAGAGTTCCCAATGGCCAAAGATAAAACCATTTCAGAAAAAAAAAAATTGAATTAAGTAATTTTATATTTTGAGATTATATCCCAAAGTACCAAAAACAAAAAACAAAAAAACAAAAAAAAAACCCACTATGGGTTCATGCTGATGTAAATAAATAATTGAATAAATAAATAGAAACATCTTCCCTGCCAAGAATTCCAAATAATTTACGTAGATACTTTAGCCTGAATGAGGTGGAGCATAACACTCCACTCCTTCAGTGGGGGCCACATTTAGTACATTTAGTAACTGTTTTTCCAAAAAGTATACAATGACAAAGGGAAAAATATGAGTCACTTTACAATATATTTTACATCAGCAGTGATGTCATGTTTATAGTGTACACACTTAAATGTATATTATTAACTGAAAGAAGCCACTCTAAAAAGCCTATGGAGTGTATGACTCCATTTACATGACACTCTGAAAAAGGTAAAAAGAGATGGTAAAAGGATCCATGGTTTTCTGACGTGATGACAACAGCACTTTCCCTTTGTGATTTTCCTCCCCCAAACCCATAACCTCAGACTAATCAGGAGAAAAAAAAAAACGTTAAACAAATCCTAATTCAGGGGCATTTTACAAAATAACCAAGTAGTACTCCTCAAAACGGTTAAGGCCGTCAAAAACAAGAAAAGTTTGAGAAACTGTCATAGTCTAGAGGACCAGAAGAGGTGTGATGGTTGATAATAAGTGTCAACTTGATTGGATTGAAGGATGCAAAGTATTGTTCCTGCGTGCGTCTGTGAGGGTGTTGCCAGAGGAGATTAACATTTGAGGCAGTGGACTGGCAGAGGCAGACCACCCTCAATCTGGGTGGGCACCATCCAATCGGCTGCTAGTGCTGCTAGGAAAAGCAGGTGGAAGAAGGTGGAAGAGCAGACTTGCTGAGTCTTCCGGCCTCCATCTTTCTCCCACGCTGGATGCTTCCTGCCCTCGAACCTCAGACTCCAGGTTCTTCAGCTTTTGGACTCTTGGACTTACACCAGTGCTTTGCCAGGGGCTCTCAGGTCTTCGGCCACACACTGAAGGCTGCACTGTCAGCTTCCCTCCTTTTGAGGCTTTGTGACTCCGACTGAGCCACTACTGGCTTCCTTGCTCCTCACCTTGCAGATGGCCTATCATGGGACTTCACCTTGTGACCGTGTGAGTCAATTCTCCTTAATAAACTCCCCTTCACATATACATCTTTCTATTAGTCCTGTCCCTCTAGAGAACCCTGGCTAATACAAGAGGCATGACAACTAAATCTAATGTGATGTCTTGGATGGAACCCTGGGACAGGAAAAATAAAGGAAATCAGAAAGTATTGACTTCAGTTAATATTAATGTATGTTAACTTCTTTAATATTAACTGACTTAGCTAATATTAACCAGTACCAATATTGGTTCATTGGTTGTGACAAGTATATCGTACTAATGTAAGATGTCCAATAATGAGGGAAACTGGGGGGTGGGATATATAGAAACTTTTTGTACTATTTTGTGATTTTTCTGTAAATCTAAACCTATTCTAAAATAAGATTTTTTAAGAGCAAATTACAATTAAAAAATCACTCTACTGCATAACCTGTAGTGAAGGTCTGTGCAGCATCTCAAAGAAACACATAGGATGAAGAAGCCAGAGACGATTTTACAGACCCAGTGACCCTTCTTCTCACGGAGACTTGAAGAATTAGTAGGAGTCCAATGAGGAAGAAGGCACTGAAAGGCAGAAGAAGGCACAAAAAGGCCCCTAGGCATGTGGTGGCTGGGCACCCCTGATAAAGTGCAGTTCATCTGGCAGAACTACAAGTTGAGAAAGCCTCAGGCCGGAGAAGGATGCAAGGCTGTGTCCTTCCTGAAAGTCCTTATTGGCATTTGTTCCTCTGAGAAGGCGAAATCTTTGCACAGGTTTAAGTGGGAAAGTGGCAAAACAATAAGAGCCTCATTCATTTCTGCTGTGTTCCAGATACGATGTCAGATTTTTCAGCTTCGTTATCTTTGATCATTACAAAGGATCCTTGTATTTACAAGGTTAGAGTTTGTTCTTTAGGAGATCATTCTCCAAATCTGGAGACTAGATTGAAAGGTAGCAAGGCTGGAGGCTCTTTGCGGAAGTAACTGACACATCTTTTCATCACTTCTTGTCTGTTGGCTTTTGTCAGTGTGCTTGAAAATAATTTCAGCTGTTTCATGTCATGGAATTAGATATGCTTTGATTACAGTTTCTGCTTTCTTGCCTTCACCCAACTCACTCCTTAGTGATGCTCTGCAGGACGACTTTTATTCTTTCTCTATAAAGAAACTGCTCCTCTGAACTCACCCTGCCCAAGCCCTGCCTTTACATTATGTATACGAGTTCTTCCAGTCAAACTGGATCACTTAGTGACTTGGAGCAGGTGGCACTCTCCTCCGTACCTCTCCTTTAACATTTATGTATATGTCAAAAAGCTTCCTTCTTGCTTTTCTTCACTGGGTATAATTCTGTCCAATTCCCTGGGTCCACCCAAATACAGCCCTCCCTCATGAGACCTTTTCTGACCTCCTAGAGCAATCTATCCCTCCAATGAGCCCTAAATGCCTGATATCTTTTACTGTAGCTAATTGTGTGCTGTTATTAGCCTTTCCTATACTTTTCATAAAGATCTTGAAAGACAGGCAGGCACGCTGCTTAAACTCTGTTTGCCTGGCCGTGCACACTTTACACCTGGTATAAGCAGAACGTATCATTTGAACTGAAAATAAAGTAAGAAAAAGTAAATTTAACTTTAAAATAAAACACTTATTTCAGAGTGGTTCTTTGATACTTATAATAAATGCTCACTTTGCTTTGATACTGGATATGACTAAAGTTTACTTTATTTGGACGGATATATTACCTTTGACTGCTGAATTAAAAGAATCAATGCCTTGATTTAAGCTGTGCAGCTAACAGTAGCTCTGAGAATAAACAAGAGGAAAATACAGCCATGTATCTCATGCATGAGAGATGCATCTTCGGTGATTTCATCATTGTGCGAACTTCATGGAGTATACTTACACAAACCTAGATGGCACAGCCTACTACACACCTAGACTATATGGTATAGCCTATTGCTCCAAGGCTACAAAGCTGTGCAGCATGTGACTGTACCGAATACTGTAGGCAACTGTAACACAATGGTATTTGCATATCTCAACATATCTAAACATAGAAAATGCAATGCATTACTCTATACCATTATGATAGCTACAGTATCACTAGGCACTAGGAAACTTTCAGCTCCATTATAATCTCATGGGACCATTGTCATACATGCTGTCCTTTGCTGACCGAAACGTTGTTATGGGATATATGACTATATATAATTTTTATGTAAGAATTTTACATTTATTTTTTATTTTAAAAAGGACACTTCACCATAACATCTTGATAATTTATTAAATTGCAAATACATAAGATGATAAAAAATTTCAAATGTCATCTTCTCTATTTTTAATTAATGCCTAGTGAGAGCATAAACATTATTTCAACCTACCAGTCCATATTTTAAAATACAAGTTCACGCTTAAATACATTTGGAGTGAAAAATGTCTAAAACATCCTAGGCATGGTGGCTCACGCCTGTAATCCCAGCACTTTGGGAGGCTGAGGTGGGTGGTTCACCTGAGGTCAGGAGTTTGAGACCAGCCTGGCCAACATGGTGAAACCTCATCTCTACTAAAAATACAAAAATTAGCCAGGTGTGGTGGCGTGTGCCTGCAGTCCCAGCCTCTATGGAGGCTGTGGCTTGAGCCTGGGAGGTGAAGATTGCAGTGAGCCGAGATCACATCACAGCCCTCCTGCCTGGGTGAAAGAGTGAGTGAGACTCCATCCCCCAACACCAAAAAAAAAAAAGTCTAAAATATTGATTTGCTTTTCTTCTTCTTCCTCTTCTTCTTCTTTTTTTTTTTTTTTTTGTTGTTGTTGTTGTTGGGGTTTTTTTTGAGACAGGGTCTTGCTTTGTCACCCAGGCTGGAGTTCAGTGGTACAATCATGGCTCACTTCAGTCTCAACCTCCTGGGCTCAAGCCATCCTCTCACCTCAGCCTCCCAAGTAGCTGGGTCTACAGGGGCACAGCACCATGCCCAGCTAATTTTTGTATTTTTTGTAGACATAGGGTTTCACCATGTCACAGGCTGGTCTTGAAGTCCTGAGCTCAAGTGATCTTCCCGCCTCAGCCTTCCAAAGTGCTAGGATTACAGGCGTGAGCCACTGTGCCTGGGCTGTTCTTTTTTTTTTTTTTTTTTTTTCCCAGAAGTCTTTGAATCCAACTTTAAAAGCCAAGTGAAAACCTCAGAAAACAAATGAAGCCTGAGATGAGACTCATGGAACTTGATTCCTTACCCGACCTATTTAGAAGACATTCCTTAACCTATGTACAGTCACTTAATTCTGCCCATGAAAAGCAATGTTGCATTTCCTCACAGCTGAAAATACTTTTAAAAGAAAGTAACTATAATAAATTCTGAAAGTGGAAACTTAATTTATAAAAGCAATGAAGCTTGAGACCTAACTTTGTGGGAAAACAATGCAGGTATCTTTTTTCACATTAAAAATGTTACTAATGAACTTTAGTCTGATTACAAAGCTATCTGAAGGAAATAGCATGCCAAGTGCAATTATGAATATAGGTAAGTTGGATACCAGAATCTGTTTTAATTAAGTAAAATTATGAAAGTGGGATAAAAGGACAAAAGCTCTGAAAAACAAATGGTTGATTCCAGAAATTTTTATTCAGATAATGAATAAGACAGCTAATTATTTGGATCATTTAGTTATTGATTAAAATGGTAAAAGTAATAAAAATTATCTGTAAAGTAATGTATATAAATATAGCCAATTAGAAAAAAAAAGAGCAAAGTTGCTGGAAGAAATAATGGCATCAAAAAAATTAAAATATCACCATTTCCTTCAGCTAAAGATTATGCAATGGTAGAAAAACATACTATAACAGAGAAATGAGTTTCATATCAATATTTTACTTCCTTTTTTAATCTCCTCTGCCATCTCCTCCTCATCAGATAATCCAAAGTGATGTCATGCAGGGGTGACAGTTTGTACATATGGATGAATAACATCAATGTATCCACCTTATATAAAATAATCTATTATCAGGGAGCTCAATTTAGCTTTATTGGGGTCTTTAGAAATTTACTATTAATATGTGCATGTTTATTTTCACTTACTTCAAATGAAAATTGCTTTTTCAAACTATTGAGATGCCAAAATATACCAGATATAGACCAGAAATGTGTAGCAATTTGCTACCTATTGTCATACTCTAGCTAACTTTAAATTTCTAACAACCCCTGTGAGGTCTACAATGGCAATGCGCAATGGGGAATGCAAAATGGCTTAAATGGCATTTGGCATTGAACTGGTACCTTTCTGAGGACAACAGTTTATAGGGGGAAGAACAGTTTCAAGGACATTAAGAGGCAGCAGAGAGTTGCAAATTCAGAAGTTTTATCAACATTGATTCTGAGATTCCACATTCTATCTTTAATTGATGATTATATTGTCCAAAACTTTTCACTTTATGCAAGCTCAGAGAGAAAAAGAGAGAAGAAAGTGAGTAAGGGAGGGAAGAAGGCAGAGAGGAAGGAAGGGAGGAAGGAAAATAAAAAGAGAGAGAAGAAAGAGAGAGAGAGAAGAAAAGAATCTGCCCTTAATTTTGCTACCTTCCTAAGTGCGACCTTATTGCAATTTGCTCCCCTTCCTTTTGAGTTCATGCCTCATGAAAGAGTATTACACACGTATGTTCCTTACTTTCAACTCCCAACCCCTTCCTTAGCTCACCGTACTTGTCTTCTTCCGGCAGAAGTCTACTGAATCTGTTCTCTCAAAGGTCACCAATGACTTCCTAGTAGAAAAGTTCTACCACTTCCCCACTCTCTCCCAGTCTTCTCTGCTTAAGCTCTGGTGAATCTCCCTTCCTGGAGCCCTCTATGTGGCTGCTGTCACGCTCTGTCTACTCTGCTATCTTTCTCTCCGGCTCCTGACCTAGTTTTCCCTACCTTCTGACTCCTGCTCTCTATGGTTAAAAGTCTCTTAAAAATCTATCTCTGCTGTAGCTTCCCCTTTCCTTTGTTTCTCTCTATATTCTTTCTTCCTTGGCAAGCTCATCTAATTTAAAAGGTCTGCTTACCAAATGTGTACCTCAGTCATCATTTATTCAATGTAGGAGAACAAAACCCACTAGACAAGGTGCCAGCTCTGTCTATAGGAAGTCAGTAGTCTATTTAATAGGTGAAACTGGCAAATCAACAGACACTTAACTACACAGTCTAATAATTTCAACAGGGAAAAAATGCAGTGTGTTCTGGAAAAACATTAAAGGAAGATCCAATCTAATCTTGGGAGCTCAGGGAGATTTCCTGGAGGAGTTGATATTTAATTCAAGTTCTAAGTAAAAAGACAGGAGTATGAAGCAAGAGAAGGTTCCAAGCAAAGAAAGCAGCATATGCAAATTATTGTGATTAGGGATATAATGTCATTTGAGAAACCACTATCAGTTGGGTGGCTTGAAGACACAGCATGGGTTGAAAAGTGATCTGAGCAGATGCAATGATATAAATATGGCTATATCAAAAAGGGTTTTAAATATAAGCTAAAACGCTTGTTTGAACATTATCCTGAGGAAAATGGGGGGATCTATTAGTTATTGAACTTCAGAAGAGACATGATTAGATCTGAGTTTTGGAAAGATCATTATAGATGCAGTGAAATGAATTGACTGGTGTGGGAAAAGAGGAAAAGGAATATGAGGTAGAAAACAGTGGCAGTTCCTAGTGAGATGTGTTGATGGTTGGAATGAGGAGTGAGATAGTGGGAGTAGAGAGAGGTGGACAGATCTGATATTTAGGAGGCAAAGTCTGCACAGATTTGGGGATAGAAGAATTTCGTCCATTTAGATTTGTTCAGTCTATGAGATGCCCATGAAACGTCCAAGTAGAGATCTATAGCAGACAAGACAGTTGGCCAGGAGCTCAGAAGAGAGTCCAGAGGTATATTTGTAGTGGTTATCATACCAACAATGGGCAAAATAAGGAAGTGCATAAACTGTGAAGAGCCAAGAAATAAGAAATCTCATGCCTGGGTCTCCAAAACCCTGAAAGTTAAGAGGCAAATAGAGAAATCTGTGAAAGGTACTAAGATGGAGGGTGATGAAGTTATGGCACAACAAAGAAGAGAGTAATGGAAGCTAAAAAGGAGTGAAAAATGCTGCAGTGAGGCCAAATTGAGGACTGAGAAGTAATCATTGAATTTTGCAACAAGAAAAATATCAGTGATCACAGCAAATAAGGTTTCAGTGTATAAGTGGGGGATACACACCAGATTCCAGTGAACTGAGAAATAAACTTGAGAGAGAGGAATTAAGAGACAGTAAATGCAGCTGAGTTTGTGAAAATAGGAGAGACATAGGAGAATAGCTAGCGTGGACCATGAATCAATGTAAGAGTGTATTATGATGGGAGAGAACTGTGGTGAGTAAGCCTATACAGATATGGCTGGTTAAGATATAAAAGTGAAATATAAGAATGAAATGTTGGGCATGGTGGCCCACGCCTGTAATCCCAGCACTTTGGGAGGCCGAAGCGGGTGGATCACTTGAAGCCAGGAGTTTGGGGCTGCAGTGAGCTGTGATTGTGCCACTGTACTTCAGCCTAGGTTATAGAGTGAGACCCTGTCTCAAAATGAAAATAAAAATAAAAAGGGATGAAACAACACTGAGGTGGTGAGAGAGGATGGGGTAAGAAGCACAGGGAAGCTCAACACAGACAGCAAGAGAAGCAAGAATGGGTGCACACAGAGTCAAAGTGTATTTGTAAAGCAGAGCGAGTTAAAACATTAGAGACATTTCCTCCTTGCTTTCTATTTACCCTGAAAGATTATGGTCTGATATTGAGAATGACTGAGAATGTAGCATGCCAGTAGAGGAAGTGGAGAAAGCTTTGAATAATCATCCCACTAAATAGGAGATCGATCCGATTACAGAAAGGATTGCCAGGAAGTCAGGAAGGCCTGATTGAGGTTGGGAACCATGACATCTTGGTAGCAATAATTTATAGGATTGAGTGACTTTTCAACAGCGACGTGCAGAATTTCAGATAGACACGGGAATACAACAAGATTGATCCAGGATCAGAAACTCTCTTGGTGGATGCACTGGGAAACCAAGACTGGAGGAAGTTGAGAGCATTTGTGAGTTGTAGTGTCTGATCGTTTTTGCTGTTGGTGTAATGATTTCTTTAATGTCACTCTTGCCTGTAAGAGGGGCAGTGATGTGTTTATTAATCATCACTGTACCTCCAGTGCAAGGATGGGGACATTTTGTGTGTGCATTAACAATTTATTAAACGCATCACAGTCCTACCTGCAAACCTGATTTATTTGGTTACTATTTTATCACCCTATCATATTGCAGAGATTTTTTACCTTGTGACCAACCAAAAGTGTATTTTATTCGAACTTAAGGCAAAACATTTTGACATCAGAGATGAAGAGACATCAAATCTATTTTTTAAAGAGGTCATGAAAAGAACATCCCTTTGTCTTTCCCGACACTCCATTTATATTACATACATTTTCCTTTCGGACACTTGTTCTGTTCTGTTCTCTTGGGTAAGTGTCATGTGTGGTTTAAACTCAGGGCTCTTCCTTCTTTGTGGAACTTTATCAGATACGTTGATGGTGACTAATTAGATGTTTCAACTTCAAACAAGTTAATGTTTCAACTTCAAGTTGAAAAGATTATTGCATTGAACTGTACTCTTTACCTTTGCTTCTCTCAAGAAAATGTTTATGGCCCTATTTTCTTATTCTCATATGTTTGCTTCTTAACTGTTTAATGATGTCACTGCCTCTCAATCAACTCTCTCCTAGGCCTCTACTGTCCTCATTAATTGCAGAATATAATTCCACAGAAGCCCCTTTATGATGCTGGAGAATTTTCACATAATTTGTATGATAGAGTCTAAGTAATACCTATGTTTCTGTCCCACTCTTTACTTTGAAATTTTGCACCTCCCTGCCAGTTTGCTTGCATCTTTTTCTCTGACTTTGCATGCTTGAAATCGATTATTTGGTAAAATGCCTCACCTTCCAGGTACAGAAGTGTCCCCAACCACACAACATTATTTGACTTTTAGTAGTAGTTCCTTAAGACATGTCCCCAGTATTTCCTTACAGCAAGTGCTCACGTAAAGCAGACGAATATTTGACAAAATCTGCAGGAGACACAGGTGGAGAGTGAACGAGGCTCACAAGTGGCTGCCATCAGCCCTTCCTTCCCGGCAGCAGTGTGGAGGGGCCGTCAGCTGCCAGACACTTCACACTCCACTGTTTGCTCCCGTTTCTCTTGTAAAGGGCTGGGTGGGACAGCAGGGGTGTGATGACATGATTCCCAGTGACAGAAATCTTGGCTCCTGTTGGCTCTAAGCTGGACAGACAAGAAACTGGATAAAAATTCTTTTAATAATTTGTTTCCGTTTACAGTACCACGTCAGTGACCACAAATTTATTAGGCTGCTCTTGGACATCTGTTAGTAAATCGGGCACATTCATCAAATGTGAGGCCCCAGATGGGAGCTGGAAAGCATTAATAAAATGCAGCCAATGTTCACGAAAAGGCAAGGCAGTGGAAATTTACCTATTGTAGAGGGAGGAGGTGCTCTCTGTGCTTAATAGCTCTTCGTCGTATACCCGACTGAGCAGAAATATCTCAGTGGAGCAATTCTGGGATTTATGTGATGCAACCACCTACCATCTTTGTCTTATCTCTTACTTTTCACAGGCATGAACCTGTCATTCTAGAAACACTAACCTACTCATTCTCCCTAAACTATATAAAAAAAAAGTCTGGATATGCTATTTTTCTAAGCTGGAAGTAAATGATCCGACCTTGAATTGTGATTAAAAAAAGATTATTTGCAGGATGTCATGACACTTTACAATGGCTTAAATTTTTGAAAAACTTAGGAAAAAAAAATCAAAGTATAACCGAAAGCAGTTGTTTCAGTTAATATGACATTATTTTAGGTTTAGAGATAAATTTCCAGCAGAAGAATTTGTCTCTTTATGATTTGTATGAATTCTTGCTATGGCCTTGCTGTTCCTCTGCTTGGGTTTTCTCTTTATGATTTGTACGAATTCTTGTTATGGCCTTGCTGTTCCTTTGCTTGAGTTTTCCAGAACGCCACACCATTTCAGTCCACAAATAATGGTTTGTTTCTAAGAGGAGCTACTATTTGCTCATAAAACTCATTTTCTATGGAATAAAAGCAGCCTGTTTAGGCTGATTCAGAACCTGTAGAACATTTTCCTGTAGTTGGGCAACCGCTCTCCTTGCTTTTACTTAGAGAAAAAATTGATTAATCGAAACCTATGGATAATAGCTTTGGGAAGTTTCATTTTCTATTTGTAACTAAACATTTTCTATGTCATGAAGGGTCAAGGGAACCTAGGGTTTTTCACTTTAAGGTAAACCTCCAGTTACAGCTTAAACTATGAACGTGGAAATGTCTCCTATATTGTTAAGTAAAATATGCAAGATAAAACAATCTATTTTTTTAATGTTAATATTCTCTGTTAAGTGCATTCAATTCAACAATGTTTACTGGTTACCCAACATGTGTGAAACACTATGTAGGGGTTAGGGACAACACAAAGAACAAAGTCCTTCTACTTATAAAGCTCATATTCTAGTGAATATGTGGCTCAGACTTCGGGAAATGTCCTAAGTCAGACCATGATGTGTCAGTGTGGGACAGCCCATGCCCCTGTCAACAGGGGTGGTGTTTGTCATGTCAAGATATCCTTGGAAGTGGTCAATCTTAAATTGTTCTTGAGGTCAATCTGACAGTCGGATATGAGACTTTAGAAAGCGTGGCTAAGAGTAAAATGAAGAAACTGTTTACTCTTTTTCTTCCACTAGGAGTCACTTGAGCCCAGACTCTGGGCCTAAATATACCTACAAGATTTTAGTGATATTGGCCACTGTCCTGAGACATGAGAAGAGCCTCAGAGAAGTAGCTTCTAAAAGACACAAGGATAGATCTGGGCTGGGAAAGGGTCGTAGTTACCCTGTGTGCTGTGTTTTTCTTCTTCTATCCCTGGAGCTCAACAAAACCTTGTGAAAAGTTAGAGTCTGAGAGATCACGGAGGAAGTCTGTGAAGTGGTACAGGCTGCGTAATACCCCGGGCACAAGCAGTGCCCTTGGCTAGGGTCAAAGTGATTGTGCCAAGAAGTGGGGGGGGGGGGGAAAAGGCTGTAGCAAGAGTATGGGCTTCACAGGCCGCTGAGGGCAAAGAGACATGAGATACTGGTTCACGAGAGGCCCGAGAAAATGACCACATATGGGGAGTAGGAAAGACACTGAGTGGGGCTCGTTCCAATGATAAAGCCAGAGTGGGCTCAGGCCTTCAAAGAAGACTGGACAGACAGATGTGCTAGAATTTTAGCTATGGCTATCTCAGGGAGCTTTTCGTGAGTGCTTTTTATTTTCTTCTTTTTATTTTTTTCATGTTTCCCAAATTCGAAATTACAAAAAGCAAATTAGAGTTATTGCTTTTAAAGAATCCAAAATGTTTTAAGAAAAATGTATACATTATAAGTAACTACATGTGACATTTGACTCCTGTCCCTAGGCAGGGGCTGCTGAAACATCTACCAACCAATATCCATATCCAAACATCCAATATCCAAACAACCAATATCCAATATCCCAGGAAGACTTGGCAGATCAGTTCGTGAGGGCCAAGGGTTCACTGATGGTGCTGCCAAAAGTAAGAATAAAGATGGGGTGCACCCATCACTTCTCACACAGGAAGCCCATGACTATCCACACATACCCGTGTTCATGGATGAACCCCAGCAGAGGAAGAGGTGAATGTCATGTTTGCTAAAACAAATGAGTAAGCCTCAGGCCTTTGAAAACCAGACACTCCCTCTTCCTACGGGCATTCAGTAGAAGCAAAATGCTACTGATGCCTGGCAGATCCCTTCCAAAATTTGGTTTAAATCAAAACAGCAGTTATTACCCGAAAATAACACAAATCACAATCTGAGCATGTGCCTCCTGTGAAATGGAGATAATCAGAATTCAACATGGTGCGTATAATGTACTGTAATGGGCCTCAAAGCCCAGGTATTAGTGAGCACGGCAGGAAGCAGGAATTCTGGATAATTCAAGAGGCCCCAATCACTTGAATTTAATATAACTGCAAAATTAAAAAAAAAAAGCATTTTAGTCTCATTAGACTTGCAGCCTCCCTCACTTAAAGGGGAATTTTCAAAATTTGAAAATCGTATCAGATGTTACAATTGAGGTTTTTAGACTCATTATTTTTAAAAGGGTGACCTTTTACTGTACAGCAGGAACCTGTCTTGTGTGGTTTGAGACAAATGACAATGAAGAGATGGATATGTTCCTAGGATCATATTTAGGCTATAAAACATCTATCAGTGCCCTTATCACACTTTTTGTACTGCTGTAGTTAGCATCTCCTATCATTATTAGCTGTGATAAAAGAAAATGTTTCATGAAATATGACATAGAAATAGAATAAGCAGCATTGTTCTCAACTGAAATACAGGAGGGGGAAAACCTAACTCATTCCTCATCTGGGAAATAAGAAATACCGCATTATCTTTAATAAAAGATAAAGGGACCTGACTTTTCAGACAGCTCTTACACAACTATCTATGGCCGCTTCTGGGTAACAGATATAATCGTACATTTCTCTGTCATTTTCTGAGTGGCTACCCTGATGAATAGGCACATCCTTAGATGATATCTTCTGCTCTAGGCCTTATTAGCTTTATCCAGTGCTTTTTACTTTTCTTTTCTTTTCTTTTCGTCTATTCTTCTTCCCTTCTTCCTTTTTAAGGAAAGTTGCTTATGTCTTATTTCTTTGCCAAAGGAAATTCAAGTCGGCTTATAAAAGGAACACATATATGCAGAAAGGAAAGTGAGGCTCTAAAAAGAAGAAGAAAGCAAAGAGGCCAGCCAGCTACTGGAAGAATCAGACAATGCCACAGGACAATTGTGCATCGTCCATTTGGTCTGTGTAGCCATGTTCATTTTTGTTTTTTCTAGTGGACAGTGTAGAAATATCAAGCTCTGCTGTAATAGGAGATGTTCCTGTGTGTAATTAAACACATCTCCAAATGTCCATTGAACCCTGGCCTCATTATGTTTGTTCAAGTTCTACAAGATAAAAGACAGAAATTCTAATTAGATTTCCAGCTGCCTTTTGTATTTTCCTTAATAGCTGACAACTCTAATAAACAATATATATTTAAAAAACCAATCAGATAAAAATGAGAGAGGTCACAAAACTCTGGGACTGGCATTTATAGATGCATGTGCTGTCCAGCAAAAACCAAAAATGGAATTAGGACAGACAGATCACCTGCTGGTCTCTAACAAACGTACTGTGTTGGCATGATGCCGACACACCAGGTATGAATCCCAGCTCTGCTCCTCGGTTCTGCTGGGAGTCTCAGGGGCTTCATCTGTGAAGTGAAGGTGACATCCCTCGCCTGGAGCAGTGTTCATGCTTTTAAATCAAATGTATCTGGGTTTGAATACTGGTTATCTCTCCTATTCGCTTCATGATCTGAGACTTACATTTTTAAATATTTCTTCAAATTTTCTTTCTTTTCTCTTGGAGTTCAGAATAATATATATCAAGTTCTCAACATGATGTTCAGCACATAGTTGATGCTCAGTAAATGTGAGCTTTCTTGCCCCCTTCCTACTTACAAGAACTAAATGAAAGGACAACATCCAGCATGGTACCTGGGGAGACCCAATTGATTAATGCTCATGTGTGATAGTTCTTTTTTGCTGGAACTGCAATATAGTGATAGAGGTGGGAAGTGAAGGCAGCCAGAAACTCAAACCTGAAAAAGCCTTTATCAACGGGAAAGATGGTCTGAAATAATGGCAGACATCCTGGGGGAAATACCCCCTACTTTGGCAATGAAAACTTCAACGTATGGCCTTCATGAAGACCTTTCAGTACATTCTAGGTTTGGGGACTTTGTTGTGCAGAGCAATTGGATAATTATACAAGTCAATGGAAACAACAGTCACTCGTTGCATTACAGAATGCAGTATTTAAATGCAAACGCAACACCAAAAACAAATAAGGTGGGGAGTAAAAGAAAAGAGTGTGGCTAGCTTCTAGGTTAAATAAGACAGTTGGTCCCAACAGGTTGGATGTGACGGGACTGCACTGGATGGCACTGATCACTTTGAATGGCAGACATCACAGAGCAACATGTGCAGACTTCTCACTTTCTGTACACTAGAGCATTCCCAAGAGGCAAGAGGCCACCAAAAGAGAGATTCTTGGTGTTGTTAAATGTGTAAAATATGCCAGGCAGAGTGGCTTACACCTGTAATCCCAGCACTTTGGGAGGCCATGGCAGGTGGATTACTCGAGATCAGGAGTTCAAGACCAGCCTGGCCAACATGGTGAAACCCCATCTCTACTAAAATACAAAAATTAGCGTGGTGGTGTGCCCTTGTAATCCCAGCTACACAGGGAGCTGAGACAGGAGAATTCCTTGAACCCGGGGGGCAGAGGTTGCAGTGAGCTGATATTGCACCGCTGCACTCCAGCCTGCATGATACAGGGAGATTCCGTCTCAAAACAAAATAAAATAAATAAATAAAATAAAAATAAATGTACAAGATACCATAATTTTGGTGGCTCTGCTGTAGACTGAATGTCTGTATCACCCCCAAATTCATACGGGAGGTGATTAGGTAATGAGGGCACAGCCCTTATGAATGGAATTAGTGCTTTTATAAAAGAGGCTCCAGAGAGCTCGCTCTCCCCTTCTACCATGTGAGGCCACAGCGAGAAGACAGCCATCCATGAACCAGAACGCAGACCCTCAGCAGACACAAAGGCCACCAGCACCTTGACCTTGGACTTCCCAGTTTCCCAAACTGTGAGAAATAAATCTTTCTGTTGTTTGAGCCACTCAGTCTATTGCATTCTGTTATAGCACCCTGAATGAACATAGATAGGGTACCAACAGAATATAGGCAAAAATAAATTCCTCCCTTCTAAAGAAAAGCTCCTAATACGCTGAAATGAATACACAAAGAAAACTATAGTTCTTGCTCATCTCACATGAAATAAGTAGAACTACATATAAGATTCCCTGTGTACACAACTAGGAAGCTCCAGCTGCAGTAGCCAGGGTGTGGGATGAGAGCAGGTACCCAAAGATATGAGGACTTTGTTTGTTCCTTAAGCATTATTTATAATATAAAATGCACGTTTGCAAGATGAATGTTTGGGTAATATCTATTATCTTGAAACTAGGTCAAATCAATCAATCTTGTTAGATTTATACTTAATGGCTCCAAACTATGACTTCTTGCATATTATCATCAGAGTGTTAAATATATCTCAGAAACCTAGAATGTTTTTATATAGTGGTCTACTAGCACTGGAACGATAATAAAGCGGTCATTTTTATTGATCTCCTATGGACATGACAGCTTGCTCAGTGGACAATAAAATATATATTTTGTAGGTTTATAGGTTTGTAAGGGTCTTAATGGTTATTTGCAAGGGATATTTTAAATGCTTCTACCGCTTCCCTCTACTGAAGCAAGATTGTTGTTTGAAACAATTTGAAGAGCATACAGAAAAGATCTGTTTTTATTGACCTGTAATATACGAGTTGAAATACATAGGAAATTGCTCTAACAAAATGGAGTATCCAGAATGCAACAGGTAAATATAACATCAAATCCAAGGAAATACATTACTTTATTCCAAAAGACATTATGTAATGTACCTTTGGGTCAGTTGGGTCCATGCCTCTCTTATGGTTGCCCGCCATTTATGCAAAAGCAGAATCCAGGTCTGAAATAGTTGTTCAAAAAGGTGCAGGACACGTATGTTTATTGCGGCATTATTCACAATAGCAAAGACTTGGAACCAAGCCAAATGTCCAACAATGATAGACTGGATTAAGAAAATGTGGCACATATACACCATGGAATACTATGCAGCCATAAAAAATGATGAGTTCATGTCCTTTGTAGGGACATGGATGAAATTGGAAATCATCATTCTCAGTAAACTATCGCAAGAACAAAAAACCAAACACCGCATATTCTCACTCATAGGTGGGAATTGAACAATGAGATCACATGGACACAGGAAGGGGAATATCACACTCTGGGGACTGTGGTGGGGTGGGGGGAGGGGGGAGGGATAGCATTGGGAGATATACCTAATGCTAGATGACGCATTAGTGGGTGCAGCGCACCAGCATGGCACATGTATACATATGTAACTAACCTGCACAATGTGCACATGTACCCTAAAACTTAAAGTATAATAAAAAAAAAAAAAACAAAAAAAAAAACCCAAAAAGGTGCAGGAGTCTGGTGCAGTGGCTTATACCTGTAATCCCAGCACCTTGAGAGGCCAAGGCAGGGAGATCCCTTGAGACCAGAGTTTGAGGCCAGCCTGGGCAACAACCCCGCCTCTCAAAAAAAAAAAAAAAAAAAAAATTAAAATCAACTAACTAAATGAATAAATATCAGCTGAGTGTGGTGATACATGCCTGTGGTCCCAGCTATTCAGGAAGCTTAAGCGGGAGGATCACCTGGGCCTGGGAGGTCAAGGGTGCAGCGGGCCGTGATTGTGCCACTGCACTCCAGCCTGGACAACAGGAGAAAGACTCCAATTAAAAAAAAAAAAAGGAGCAGGCACACAGGGTACAGGTTGTACCTACTGTGCTTTTATTTCAAGGTTTTTGTGTGACTTTAGATATTCACAAGTTTCTCTCCTGTTAATTTTCTGGTTGTAAATTGATGAGATATCTGCCTGGCTACTTCATGATATTGATATGATAATCAAGTAAAATAATTTAATTAAGGCTGGGGGCCATGGCTCACGCCTGTATTCCAGCGCTTTGGGAGGCTGAGGAGGGCAGATCACCTGAGGTCAGGAGTTTGAGACCAACTTGGCCAACATGGTGAAACCCTGTCTCTACTAAAAATACAAAAATTAGCGGGGCGTGGTGGCTAATCCCAGCTACTCAGGAGGCTGAGGCAGGAGAATCACTTGAACCCGGGAGGCTGAGGTTACAGTGAGCCGAGATCACGCCACTGCACTCTAGCCTGGGTGACAGAGCAAGACTGACTCTCAAAGAAAAAAAAAAATCTAATTAAATGATTTGGAAAAGCATAAAACACTTTATAAGTCCAAAACATTATCAAAGATAACAGAGACATTCTTTTTTTTGGAGATGGAGTCTCGCTCTGTTGCCCAGGCTGGAGTGCAGTGGTGCCATCTCAGCTCACTGCAAGCTCCGCCTTCTGGGTTCACGCCATTCTCCTGCCTCAGCCTCCTGAGTAGCTGGGACTACAGGGGCCCACCACCGCGCCCGGCTAATTTTTTTTTCTATTTTCAGTAGAGACGGGGTTTCACCGTGGTCTCGATCTCCTGACCTTGTGATCCATCCGCCTCGGCCTCCCAAAGTGCTGGGATTACAGGCGTGAGCCACTGCGCCCGGCCAGAGACATTCTTTACTTTCTCAGTTCTGATGCACCCTCATGTTCCTAGGGCTGTAATTTCATTGGCAGTTTAACTAAATTCGTGGAATACAAAGGCCATTTGTAATGGAGTTTTATTAAATTAATTAACAAGATTTAGAGCACTTTCTTCTTCAGAAGACTTGTGGCAGGCTTGGGAGGCAGATGACAGACTCTATAATGGTGTGCACAATGGATTGATTTAATTCATTCGGTGATAATTAAGTTACTTGATCCAGTTGTTTGATGGTGTGTAAGCAAAACATCTGGTTGATTTGCCTGAATCTTGATTTTCACTGGTATTTTTACAACAGATATTGCTTCTAGAGGAAGAAACTTTGCAGGTATTTGTCATTAAGTTTTTATCCTAGATAAATTATATTTATCCTTAATCTTATTCTTCTATCTGCATTTTAAGCCATTTTGTTTACACTGGGTTTTGTTTAGATAAAAAACAATTCATTTAAAATTTCTTTCTGTTCACGTTCTCACATCCATTTAAGAGAGCACAAACTGAATCATCAGTTACCATAAATCCGATGCCACTTCAGTGAATTCCCATCAGTCAAAAAAACAAGTGATTATTGAGAATTGATTGACCGTGGCACTTCATTTGATGGCTGGAGAGGGTATGTGTCCTCTGCCATTATGTTGCTTAGATTCAACTGAAGTGATGAGACCAACATACATAAAATAAAAAATATAAGATAATTAAACTAAGCAACAGATAAAGTAGTATCAAATGGAAATATTCTTTCAGCTCATGGCAAAGAAAAGCCAATGGGGGCTGAATTATGGAAGAAAGGCTCATGGAATAGGCTGTATTTGAAGACTAGTATAAAAGTTGTATGCATTTCTAAAAAATTCAATTCAGTTAAATGTGCTTGCACATATTCAGAGTTTTAAAAATTTGGCCTACATAAAAATACAATTAAGATTCTGGCCCACTTGCATGTTGATTCTTTTAAGTATCACAAAACATGGTATTAAAAGCACTTTTCAGAGGAAGGGAAAAAAAAAAAACCAGAGAAATTAATTTGCCCAATGCCTGTAACCAGTAAGTGCTTGAAACAGGATTGAAGCTCAAGCATGTCTGCAAAGCTCATGACCCTCTTCAATGCCAGGATTCCTCTCAAGGAATGCTGAAAACTCAAGAAGCATGGGATGATGGAGAGAAGGAAAAAAGATGGAGCAAATAGCTGCCACTCAAAGAACACAGAAATGCGGCCGGGTGCGGTGGCTCACACCTGTAATCCCAGCATTTTGGGAGGCCGAGGCAGGCGGATCATGAAGTCAAGAGATCGAGACCATCCTGGCCAACATGGTGAAACCCCATCTCTACTAAAAATATAAAAATTAGCTGGGCGTGCTGGTGTGCGCCTGTAGTCTCAGCTACTCAGGAGGCTGAGGCAGGAGAATAGCTTGAACCTGGGAGGCAGAGGTTGCAGCAAGCCAAGATCATGCCACTTCACTCCAGCCTGGGCAACAGAGCAAGACTTCGTCTAAACAAACAAACAAACAAACAAACAAAAAAACACAGAAATGCATAACGTTCCTTGATACCCAGGAGTGACAGCAAGACTCATTTCAAATCTTAGCCTACTCATTAGATTGAGGGTCTTAAAGTACTATTCTCCCTGGTCAGCATCACTAGATGAGCTTAGTCAGGATGACTCTTACAGTGAGAGGCAGCAAGGGGCACAAATGAGCAAGGTCATGTCAAGGAATTACTGATATCTGTCAATAATTTTGTGAAGGATCCAGACTTTCTTGAAGCTTTTTATTTTGATAAATTTGCTCAAAATATTATCCATAATTAATATGACATGATATTAGTCATAAAGCATGTTTACTAAGAAAACAATAAATCTGTTCTGGAAGATAAATTTTGCAAACTCAACCCGAAGGATAGTAGGACTTATCACAGAAGGGCAGGTTTAAAAGGCAGAGGAAACACGAACGTGGAAGAACGTTGCCAGTAATGGCCCCAATTTGCTCACACAGTCCTGCGTCTGTGCATTGTATAGTCCTTCCTTACAGTGGCTTTGGACTTGTCCAGGGGATTTGTCTTAGTGGATGAGGCAATAGCAAATGTGACACAAACAGAAACTCACGTTGTGCTTGTAACCCTGAGAATACCATTGTAAGAAGCCAGTGCTAGAGGCTGAAGGGCAAGAGAATGAAAAATATTTAGCTGACAGCTTACCAAGTGCCAGATATGCCAAAAATCTAAGGGAGCAATGGAGTTACTTTCATGTAACTGAGAGTAAAATAGCAAAATAGCACAGGGCTTTCAGAAGCACAGCACAGTTTCCTACTTTGAGGTCTGATTAGTTGCTGTGCCCCCAGAGTGAGCCTGGCTAAAGCAAAGAGTGTCAATAGCTAGGAAGGGGCTCTGCCAATGGGAACATGTAACAACATGGAAGCAATGGGGTGGACTGTCAACAGAAGACATTAGTGGTGGATGCTATGCTTCTTAATGGGTGCTGTGATGAATAACTTTATACGTCAACCTGGCTAGGACACTGTACCCTGATATTTGGCCAAACACCAGTCTAGATGTTGTTGTGAAGGTATTTTTGGATGAGATTAATATTTGAATTAGTAGACTTTGAGTAAAGCAGATTACTCTTCGTAATGTGGGTGGGCTTCATCCCATCAGCTGAAGGCCTTAAGAGAAAAGAAACAGATTTTCTCCAAGGAAGAGGGAATTCTGCCACCAGACCTCCTTAAACATGAATTCATGCCTAGGTCTCCAGCCTGCTGTCCTGCTCTATGAATTTCAGAAGTACCAGTTCTCAAAATTGTGTGAGCAAATTCCTCAAAATCTCTATCTATCTATCTATCTATCTATCTATCTATCTATCTATCTATCATCGATCTATCATCTATTATCCATCTATCTATCATCTATCTATATTTTCTATCATCTACCTATCATTTATCTATCATCTATCTATCTACCATCCATCATCTATCTGTCTATCTCTTTATCATCTATCATCCATCTATTATCTTTCTATCATCCATCTATCATCTATCTATCTATATATCTATATCTTCTATCATCTATCATTTATCTATCATCTATCATTTATCTATCATCTATCATTTATCTCTATCATTTATCTATCTATCATCTATCATTTATCTATTTATATCTATCCATCATCTATCATCTATCTATCCATCTGTACACACACACACACACACACACACACACACACACACACACACACACACATTGCTTTGTCCTGTTTCTCTGGAGAACCTTGATGAGTACTAAATTTCAACAATGTAGACGTATGTTCACCAAGGACTAAATTCTTCCTTCCAATCCCCCTGCCCTTATCCAATGATTGCTGCACATTAATTTTCCTCCCTATGAAATCAAAGTAGCCATTTTATTTAATCTTTCCGCCACAGTCCAATTGTAAGACTAATGCAATTTATTCTGTGTTTTGCATTTGCATGTGAATTATATATATATACACACATATGTGTGTGTGTGTATTTATATAACACAAACACACACACGTAAATACATATCTTTTAGATTCTTACTGATATGATTGAAAGGTACAAATCAAAATATAAACTTTTGACATGATGGCAACATGAAGTTTAACTATCAATGCCACAAACAAATAATTGACACAAATAAAAATCTGCATTGGCACTATAAATTAGGGCAGCACGTGGTCTGAAAGTCTAACCAATATTCCATATATAAGACCAGATTGCAACATTCTCCTGAGACAGCACCACAGTACTAAGTAGAGAAGACTCTAGGAGATTACTCATAAAACCCTCAATGCCGGAGTGGAAACAGCAGAATATATGTGAGAAGGCGGCACAACACTTTGAATCCCATTCACTGTAGTACATCAACAGTACCAAAAACAGCTGCAGTGGGGCTGCACTAATCAAACCACTGCAAATATGGACAGCTTCTCTCCCCGCAGTGGAGGGCAAACACCACAGAAGAAATCAGCCATGGCCATGTCTTGGAGGCAGCTTGGCAATGGACAATGTTGAATATAGGACAGAAATGTGTTCCAACGAAGTAAGTCCATCACACTCAGTGACAACATGATATCATGGTGACATCCTGAGGCAAGGATTACTCCCAGGTCCAGCTCGCTCCCCACCATACTTAGTCTGTCAAAAAGCTAACTTATTAATGCAAATTTACATTAACCAGAATGCCAACTCCAGCTGCAAAGTGGAGACGATCCCACTGACATATACATACATTAAGTAATCTAAGGAGAATCCATCCACCCTGTCAATAACTGAAGATCAGTTCCATGTAGAGTCCTTCATGCCAGAGACAAAGTAAATGAGAAAAATTCACAAAACAAATTCACAAATATTTCTAAGACATGCAATGGCATAAAGATTATAATAGTATCTATATATACCTAAAATACTCAACTTAAATGGCATGATGTAATAAAGCAATCAATGAAACATAACTTACAAGAGAATTTTATGCTTAGAGTCTATGATTAGAAGAGAACTTTCTAAAGGAAGGTAGAAATAGAGAACTAGAAAAAAATAAGAAAATGATGAAAAGTTAAACATGCGATAATAGATATATTCTCTATTAGCATCTGTAAAGGGCTGAATCGGCAGTGAAGAGAATTAGAATTAATGTTATGATGTAGAAACTTAAAAACTTAATCTGGAAGAGAGAAGGGAGAGAGAAAGCTAAAAAATGAATTTTAAAACAGAGAAAATAATAATCGAGATGTAGAAAAGAGTGAAGCATATCAGTAAATGTTGTTTCAAAACAGGAAATGAGAACGAATAAGCAGGCATATAGTTAGTTACAATTATTATAAAAAATACAAAAATACCTACAATTGCCAATCAACATTTTCTGAACTATTATGTAAGAGATGTGGTAATAACTGCTTTACACTGTATGTAATACTTATTAAACCCTCAGGAAAGCACTAAGTAGTAGATGTTATTATTATATGCATTTTATAAATGTAGAAAATGAGCTTAAATAACAAAACAGAAAAAAATTTTCTTCAACTAGGAAAAACCTGAATCAACAGACTTAAATCAGTCACCAAATTTGTAAATACATCACAGAACAAGCAACGAAATGGCAATGGCCCATTTATATTTTGAATTTCAAGGAAAGAAAAGGCATTACAGGTATCTAGGCAGGATAAAAAATCAGTTTTAAAAAACAGCATATGCACAGGCAACAAAACATTCTGCCAAATAATTAAAGGCTTTGAACAACTACATATAATCCTAATAAACTGCTGGGAAAAGTATTGTAGTTTTCCAATAAGTTAGTTAAGATTTCTTTTAAAAAAAGATAGTGTAGCAAAGAGATGACACATTAAATTAGCATATATAAATCAATCATTTTCATATATGTAAACAATAAAAAGTATATATAGGAAGAAAAGACCCACATATAATAATAACACATAATAAAATAACCGAAATAAGCTTAGTAAGAAAAGTGCAAAGTCTATATTTTAAAAACTTTAAAGCACTCCTGAAAGACCACATATCAAAATTGAAGACATGAAAAGATAGAGTATATTCTTGGTTAGAAGACAACTCTGTAACTGAGCTTGGGATTACAATAAGGAGTAGGTTTGAGAAGTGGAAAAATCGGGGTTCCATTTTGGTTGTGTTGAGTTTGACGTTTCGGGGAGAGGCCTTAGGCACTGGAGAAGTGAGTGTGGAGCACTGTGGAGAGGTCAGCATGAAAGTTATGAATTGGAGCATTCTCAACATATGTCACTTAGCAACAGCGTGTAGATGCAGAAAGGAGAGGAACCTAGGACAGAAACCTGAACCTTCCAACATTTATGGATTAGCTGAGAGTGAAAAGCCACCACAGAAGACTGAGACCAAACCAAATGGCCAGTGAAAAGGATGGAAGAGTATGAGTGTGAAATTCTGGAAGCAAAGGACAATCAATTTGTTCAAAGAGAGAATATTCATTCTGTATTCCCAGTGCCTGGCCCATGGTAAGAACTCAATAAATATTTGTTAGATGAATGAAAGTGTGAAAGAAGAAATGGAATTTTCCTAGAAAGATATATTTTATAAAAGTGTACTCACAAAGCAGAAGAAAAACATTTTAGACTAATTCCATATATGTGTATTATACATATATGTAAACTAAAAAAAATCCAAAATTTTAACAAAAAGTTCAAATCCATCTGTATTCTAAAATAATAACAAAATATGACTACATGTCTAATGGTACCAAAATCTCTGATAAAATATTCAGCCAAATGTGTCCTGGATTGCTGTAATAGAAATGAGTTATTAAGTGCTCATTGATAAAATACTGAACACTAAGTCTGCAAATAATATAGACTCATTGGTCTTAAGTATGGTCCTGAAGATCATTCAGCCTTCTCCTCCTGTCTTCAAATGGGCCATCAGAACCTGCTCCCATACCCAGAATTAGTCTCTTCTTCCATCTTGCCACAAAACCCTCTTTCAGCAAATTATTGACTTCTAGAACATCAAACCATCCCTAGAGATCTTCAAACGACCACTTGGCTACCAGAGAGCACACAAGACAGAAACTAGGCATGGGTTTCTTTCTTATTTTAAAACATCTTCAGGGAGTTTTTGATAGAGTTAAAACTAGACTTGGCATTATAACCACTTAGTCTCCCTTCATGACCAGTTTCAAAAGGCATGATTGGTTTCATATAGGCAGCCACCAAAGTAACTTTCATAATATCAGCTACATTATTAACCACATCAAATTGGGATCAGAATAGCCACCAGATTGATTCATTTTCCATGTGCACAATCTGTTACATATTCAGAACAATCATTAATGTTTCTTAACTCTTCTTGAAACCAGTACAGAGCCTTGGATTTTGTCTAGGGTGAATTACTTCATTCAAAAAAACAAACCAACAAATCAGAAACTAATTTTTCAGCCTGTCATAAATATGACTACAGAACATGTATGTTCCTTCCTGGATACATTTGACTTCATCTTGTCATAACAGCTTCTAATGAATCTTAAAAACTTCCTCAAAGTGTTCAGCAAGCAAATAAAATCAGTTTTCCATGCACATTATAGCTAAAACAAGATCCTACCTGTAAATTATAAACAATGATTGTTTCTTACTAGCTTATGATATCTGTGAAGATTTTTCCTGTTTCTTAGATTTTTACTGAACTACACCTTCAGGTTTTTTTTGTTTGTTTGTTTGTTTGTTTCGAGACAGAGTCACGCTCTGTCACCCAGGCTGGAGTGCAGTGGTGTGATTTTGGCTCACTGCAACCTCCGCCTCCTGGGTTCAAGTGATTCTTCTGTCTCAGCCTCCCAAGTAACTGGGACTACATGTGTGTGCCACCACACCCAGCTAATTTTTGTATTTTTAGTAGAGGCAGGGTTTTTCACCGTATTGGCCAGGCTGGTCTCGAACTCCTGAGCTCGTGATCCACCCACCTCAGCCTCCCAAAGTGCTGGGATTATAGGCATGAGTCACCGCGCCTGACCCAGTCTTTACCTTACAGAAATAATACTCTTTTAAATCTACTTCACCTCTGATCCTTAATAGTCTTTGCCAATCAGTAGTTTCCTGATTAGCCATGACTGTGTCAATCTATTTTTTAGCACTGGGATTATTTGTCTGGTCCTATAGTTTTAAAAAAACAGGCATGCCACTGAAGTGAGGCTGAAATGTGAACTTGGTAAGACTGTAGCTTCCCTTCCTATTAATTATCTCCCCTTTCACCTGGTGATAATATGATGCTGGCAATAGCTGCTTTGTCTTTACCTAATTGTTTTAATACCACTTAATCTTCAACAATGAGTATTTTAAAAGCTCATGTAGCAAATGAGCTGGGGGTGTACACAGGCCTTTATGGACAGAATTTGAGCTGCATCTTTTGATGGTATTGCTTTATAAAGCTAGCTTAAAATGAGAAAAAATTAAAACCTTGCATCTTCGTATACTGTTAATTCTAAACCATTTTAAGGCAATAATTACCAGAGGCAGGAACCACAGCTATGCCGAGTTCCTCTCTATCGATAGAAGGGTGTGTTACATAGGTTGGCATATCACTGACCTTTTCTGCAGTCACTGTAATGCCAGCTTTTCATAACTATTGTTTTCTGTTTTCTCAGAATCTTCTCTGAACAATATGCATCTTATTTTCTTTCAGTGATGTGAATTGTTTGCCACGTGTGAAAGGTTTTACATATTTTAAAAAAGCCACTAAATGTAGCTGGGCATGGTGGCTCACATCTGTATTCCCAGCACTTTGGGAGGCCAAGTGGGTGGATCACCTGAGGTCAGAAGTTCGAGACCAGCCTGGCCAACATGGTGAAACCCCGACTCTACTAAAAATACAAAAAAATTAGCCTGATGTGGTGGCACGCGCCCATAATCCCAGCTACTCGGGAGGCTGAGGCAGAAGAATTGCTTGAACCTAGGAGGCAGAGGTTGCAGTGAGCCGAGATTGCACCACTGCACTCCAGCCTGGGCAACAAGAGTGAAACTCTGCCTCAAAAAAAAAAAAAAAAAAAAAAAAAAGTCATTAAATGCTTTGCATATGTAGGATCTTGTTCCAGGCAATGCAAAGTGTGAACTCATAAAAATTGTTCCCTTACTTTGGAAATTAGTTTTCTGCTACAGAATAGACACAATGTCCAACATGGTGAACAGGTTTATGACTTAAATAGAGCGTTTCTCTCTCTCTCACACACACACACCATGTAGGCACGAGAAAAAAAATCAGAATTACAAATAAAATACTGATTTCAAACTGTATTTAAAGATGTAGTTAAGGCAAAATTATAAGTTAATGAGATGTATGTGTCTTATAGAAGGAAAGTTCATTAATTCATAATCACTTGCCATAAATTATATGTACAATTATTTTATGGACATGTATACAGCTGATCCAGTCTAACGATCACCGATGACCTGAATCAAATAATATGGCAGAATTAAGGATGTGAAAAATTGTACAAATATGCTAACTTTCAGTGAAATATGTTTTGACTACCATAAAATTTATATAAATGTTAAAAGCACAGTTCAAACTGAATTATAATTTTTCAGGAGGTTTGCTTGCGTGCCATATTAAAATATCCCTGATGAAACATATTTCTTAAAACCACTAAGAAAAAAGTTCTTGCAATGGGAAAATGATTTATTTACCTGGATCTTCTATAGTTAAGTTCTTTATCAACCATTGAACAATGTCTGAACCTAGAAAAAGAAAAAAGAAAAACACAAACAGATGTGAACATTTTGTTTATACATATTAACTTTAAGAATTCTCCACCTTTGGTGCTCATATTAGAAGGAACTTTTCTAATTGTTACAATGACAGATTAAGGATCTACCCCAGATGGAATGCTGAAAACACAAAGTATGGATACTTAGCTGTCCATCAATAAACCAAGGTGTAAACTAGTAAATTATTAAATATGAAATATGTAAATGGAAATAAAATTTACTGTACTAGTAGAAAGTGATTTGTTTACTAAATAAGTGTTTATTAAGCATCTCCTATATTTCAGGTACAAGTCTTAGCACAGCATAACCAGTATTTTATAAGGTAGTTCCTGTCTCATTTTTGGTTGTACCCACCTCATCCTTGTATCCCCTCTCAAGTCAAACCAAATTTGTTTTTGGTTTTCGAACCCTCTTACGTATTTCAAGTCTCTGTGTCTCCACAGCAGTACTCTCCCTGACCGAAATGTCTTCCCACTATTTTTAAGACACTCAAGATTCACTGATATGACAGAACTTGCCTTGGCCCTTCCCCTCGTCCACTGAGTTCACAGTACTGTCCATGAAACCTCATTGGAACCCATGCAGTCTTTTATTGTCGTGTTGATCACACACCATTGCCCCAGCTGTTTATTTGATGAATGCCCCAAAGTAAGAACCTTGAAGCAGGGTGTCATATTCATCTTTGATTATTTGGAGCATAGTAAGTGCTTAACAATGTGTGATGAATACAAAGTATGAGCAAATATGTTTCTACTTCACACAGAAGAGACAAGAGAGGTCTGCAGAAAACAATGTTTGAGCTAGATTTTGAAGGATGTATTTTTATCTATGAATAAGAGAGAAATTTAGTTGCTGAAGGGGCCTACGTAAAAACTAAAAGGTGGAAAAGCAGTCAACAGAAATAATTTACTGCACACTGTCTATATGTAAGTGCTGGGAATAATAGAAAATTGAAAGTAATAATGGAGTGCACAGTATATTCAGCAGGTCTTGAATTCTAGGCTAAAGAATTAAATTTTCTTTTTCCCATAAGGAAAGCAGAGAAAGAGACATGCAATATTTTTGAGCAGAAGAATGACATTATCAAAGTAAGTTTGAGGAGTATGACTGGCAATATATATGAAATGCCTTGTAGTCAAAAAGAAGGCAAGGCAGTCGACATGTCTACTAGTTGCAATCCAAGGATGAAGGGAAAAGGTCTTAGTTCAGTGTACAAAGGAATTTCTTAAAAAATTACAGACTTCTTTCAGGACTTTACGACTAATTAGGTATAAAGGTTATAAGTAGGAGAGATTAAAAAAGAAGTCAAGGTTTCTAGCCCGGAAGCATAGATGAATAGAATGATGAAAATAAGAGCAGAAATGGGAGATTTAGCAACTGATTTGCTTGAGACATTCATTTGTATTTAAAATTGGTTTTCTGCATAACTCTTTTCTACACAAAATAGGAAAAATATGTATGTGAATTGTTTGCATACATAGTAAACTGTGTTATGCCTGCGTGAATTGAATCAAACTTCAGTGTGAACCAAGATTCCATTTCAGCCTCTCCTGGAGGCTGGCTAGAGTTGCTGTCTACCCACCTCGGAGATTTGGCAAATTAATTACATTAACATTGGCAAAATAATTCTAGCTGCTTGAATTAAACCAGTTCAAAATCAATTTAAGAATAAATTTGATTACTAAACTTGACAATAAAGTCCCAAAAGTTATGAGAACATTCATACTCAATGTCAATTTCAGCATGCATGCATTTAAAAAAATAACTCCAAGTATTGACTTGAACTTGTGTTCCTTTTACAGCTGCCATGGATTTAAATCATTTGGGAAGACAGACTCATCCAGATCCTAAAGGAAGTTTTACTAAAACAGCTCTAAGGGTCAAATGGAAAGGAGATCATTCTCCAGAAGGCAGTTGACCGTGTCCCGGTGTTGTGTTCAACCTTATAGTCTTAGGTTATCTGGAAGCACGATCTTCCCATTGAAAAAGAAAAGGAGAACTCAGCTTTTCACATATACATGTAGTGATCCTTGACCAATGTCGATTCCCAGATACACAAATCTTCCGCACAAGCCCCAAGCACCCTGCTCATTTTTCAGAGTTGAGCATCTATTTGTGGAACATATGTGAGCAGCCACTGGAAATTTTCCATTCTTTTGAAGACAGCCAAACATTCATTCCAGGACTATACATATTTTTTATTGTGAAAAATGACTTGAAAAATGCTCTTAGAGACTAAGTTTTTAAAAATATTCTGTTCTGTTACGCTTTCTTTCCTTTTCTTTTTTTTTCTGGGCAGAAAGAAATACAAAGAAGCCTAATTTAAAAGTATGTTTAATTCAGAGAATAGGAAACTTTCTTTCTTAGCCTACTTTTGAGTATTTCTGTCACAAGTGTATTCTCAGTTCAGCTCTGAAGGAGTCAATTTAATTGGACTTGACCAACTGCTAGTGCCACTTAGCAGATGCTGTAGTAGTTTTTTTATTGTGTGATCGCCCCAGCATATTTATGGTTTTAGGTTATGGATTTTTAAATTGTTAAATTCTTACCCAGACTCACCATGTTAACCTATGCTCCATCTGTAAGAGTAAGACCTCAACTCCTTGAAGAGATAGGTAGAGAGAGAAAGAGGAAAAAAATCCAGTATCTTATTGGAACCAGAAGACTGAAAGAGAAACGTGCTCCTATAGAGTCATCTTGAGAAGCATGACTCAAATTTAAAATGGAGCATTACAGTCCAGAGAAGTGTAGTAGGAATGCCACCTTTACAGCAATTTTCCAGCTTTATATTAAATAAATAAATAAATAAATAAATAAATAAATAAATAAATAAATGGCTGGGTCTGCTGAAGTTTTTCACATATAATGTATATGTAGAAAATTGTAGCATTCTATTTACCTTGATTTTGGAGCCCTCAAAGTAACCTGTGGAATTTTTTGAAATCACACTTTCACTGTAGCCTATGGAAAGTTTATACAGGCATATGTCACTTTTAGAGTTGCAGAGCTTTGTGCTCCGTCTGCTCAGCAGAAGCAGTAGAGGTTTTATTACTGTCGAATCCTAGCAGTATATTATTTAAAATGAAAACAAGCAAAAACAAACAAGCAGAATTCTTCCTCATCACACTGCTCATAGTTTTCTACCTGCTATACTGTTTCTTCCTTCCATGATTTTGCTAATGCTCTTCTATCTTCATCTCTTTTTCCTGTGGTGAATCCCAACTGAGGCCATAAAGTTCAATTCAAACATTATCTACTCCAGGAAGCCTGTTGTGCCCACCCCTCAACAAAAGATTGAATGAATAAATAGCAAGACTCCCCTCCCCAAATTCTATTTTCACAGAGTTTAAAAAGAATAGTATCCTTCATGCAAAGAATATTCTACTGGCATGTAATTTAAACACCACTATTATTTTTTTTTTTTTTTTTTTTTTTTTTTTTTGAGACGGAGTCTCGCTGTCGCCCAGGCTGGAGTGCAGTGGCGCAATCTCGGCTCACTGCAGGCTCCGCCCCCTGGGGTTCACGCCATTCTCCTGCCTCAGCCTCCGGAGTAGCTGGGACTACAGGCGCCCGCCACCTCGCCCGGCTAATTTTTTGTATTTTTAGTAGAGACAGGGTTTCACCGTGTTAGCCAGGATGGTCTCGATCTCCTGACCTCGTGATCCGCCCGCCTCGGCCTCCCAAAGTGCTGGGATTACAGGCGTGAGCCACCGCGCCCGGCCTAAACACCACTATTATTAAACATGATGTTAAATTGATCTTAAACTTCAACATTATTTTTTCACCCATGCCACGGATCTGAACGGCAAACGAGCTTCCTTACCTGTGCCCCCTGCAGAGTGCAAAGGCCTGGACCAGGCTCTGTCCTAAGCCTGTATTACTTCCATTACGGTCCACGTCTGCACCCCTCCCCAGGATTAGAGCACATCCTCAGCTACAAGTGTCACCTACAGCTATCCACAAACTAAATCTGAATTAGAGGTGCACAAAAATATTAAGCATTCATGAAAAAAATTGCAAAATATTTGTAAATATAAGATATGAGGACTCTGTAAGCAAGCAAAATAGAACACATTTGATTTGCATCCTTTACAAAACTCAAGTATTTTCATAATTTTCAGCTAAAGACATTAGTGAAAACTTGAGCTCTTAATCACCATAGAAGGTGCGCAAATTATTCCTGAGGCAAAGACGCTGACCTTTGCAATGTTTCTCTTTCAGGGAAATGGAAAAGCTCTTTGTACTGCCCAAATACCTTTGCTGAAGCCTCAGAACCACATAGACACAGTGCTGACAATACAAATATTTTTATTTAGTGAATATCATAAATAATCCTTAATCCATGATTTTTGATGTTATAACTATTCTTCTTTTTTTTTTTTTTTCCTTTGAAGACAGGGTCTCACTCAGGCTGCAAGACAGTGCAACAATCACCTCATCGCAGCCTCAACTTCCTGGGCTCAAGCAATTCCCCCTGTCCCAGCCTCCCAAGTAGCTGGGATTACAGGTGTGAGCCACCATGCCCGGCAATTTTTTTTAATTATTATTTTTTGGAGGATGGGGTCTCGCTATGTTGCCCAGACTTGTCTTGAAATCCTGGCCTTAAGTGATCCTCCTGCTTCAGCCTCCCAAAGCACTGAGATTACATGGCATGAGCCACCAGGCTCAGCCAACTATTCTTAGAACCTCTCACTAAATAGAAGACTTTCTATATACTAAAAATCATTTTTCCAACATTATTCTTTGTTCCTTGAAGTAGGCACAATAAATGTTTATTATCATCAAATAGCATGTAATAAACATCTATTGCGTTTCTGTAGAAGTTTGGCTGAGGATCTGCACTTTAAGGAACAAGAAAGAAAGAATGTCTAGCGAAGCAAATTAACTGATCTGTCAGTCCCTTGAGAGAAGAAACGACATCATACTCATCACGTTTCCACCATTCTCTTCAAAGTGCTTCAACACAGATCATCGTTAAATGTTTACTGAAGGCATGAGTCACTATTTATGGACATCTACTCTATACAGAAAAGACTCCAAATGCTGAAAAAGTCAGCTCTAATGGTGACTCCATCTAGTATGTTATGACACCACAGTGTATCTCTCATTATCATAATTTAAAAAGTTCTTCATGCAATTATAATTTTAACTCAATTTAATTTAAAACACGGCAGAATTTCTTTAAATTAAACTCAATTGAATTTCTTTAATTTTTAAATTAAACTCAGTTTAAAACACTGCAGAATTTCTGTAATTTAAAACACTGCAGAATTTCAGTTTAAGTTAAAACACTGCAGACTTTCTGTTTGAGAAATGAAGTGATTTGCTTAAAGCTAGCATATTACCCTTTTGTAAAGCTGAATTAATGAACTAAATTTCTCCACAATCTTTCCAATAAGTAATTGCTAATATCTAAGAATAACATTTTGTTTATTTGAGTACTTGTGTCCTGTCCAGAGCCTTAAATATGATTGCACAGCCATTGTCACATCTGAGGGTTCAACAAAGCAACCTTCAACCAAAGGAGCAGGAGAGATGAACTCCAGCCCAGCTACAGACTATGTTCTCTAACCCCTTGATCTAAGAAATCTCAGCAATGGCAAAAATCTGGATATCACCAATTAATGGCCGGTGTCCTAGTTCTGTCTGCCTTTGGCCAAAAGCGGGTACTGAAAAAAGAGAAAAGCAGCCACTGGCTTCCAGGAACTGGCTGGGCACTCACAGCTATGTCTTGGTGCTTCCTTGGTAAATATGAACAATTTCTTAGAAGAACATTAACACCGGACAAGGCCACTCTAGAACCCTCATAGGTCAAGATAAAAACAAGACCACTCTGTAATCAGATCTGAACACAAACAAAACATGAACATGGGCTGAGCCATAAAATATCAAATTCCATCCTGGATAACATGAGCGACTGCTGCTTCTTTATCAATGCCATATTTAGTCTTGTCTAATCTGTCCTCCTGTAGAAAAAATGTATTAAGATACCCAATCAGGCCGGCCACGGTGGCTCACGCTTGTAATCCCAGCATGTTGGGGGGCCGAGGCAGGTGGATCATGAGGTCAGGAGATGGAGACCATCCTGGCCAACATGGTGACACCCTGTCTCTACTAAAAAAAAAAAAAAATTAGCTGGGCATGATGTTGCGTGCCTGTAATCCCAGCTACTCGGGAGGCTGAGG
Source organism: Homo sapiens (assembly GCF_000001405.40). NCBI lineage: Eukaryota > Metazoa > Chordata > Mammalia > Primates > Hominidae > Homo > Homo sapiens. Next base: position 240,989,345 of record NC_000001.11, read on the forward strand.
CAGGAGAATCAAACCAGGGAGCTCGAGGTTGCAGTAAACTGAGATGGCGCCACTGCACTCCAGCCTGGCGACAGAGTGAGACACTGTCTCAAAAAAAAAAAAGATACCAGATAATGGAATTGTCCCTACTTCCTGACAGCACCCAATCTAGAGCAAAGGCCCACTTCCTCAGATCCTCTCCATGACTACCAATGCCAAAATCCTGTAATAGATTCTTCCTAAAACCCTATTACTGAGACACCCCATGGTTCCCGATGGCGTGCATTCTCCCTACCCTCAAGAAAGAATAAAGTTGACTTGTTCGACTATAGGCGTGTTCCTGGTGGTTTTGGGCTAGAGGCATCGACATTTTTTTAATTTAAAAAAATTGCTAATATCTATTAAGATTAATATAACAACAACAACAAAATTTAAGTTACTTCATCAGGGCGCTTTTGGTTGTAAAGAGTGATCTTTGAGGGAAGTATAAAAACATAAACTTATCAAAGAAGGAATTTGCAAAAAGGTACCCAGAACTAAAGGGAAAGGATGTATTTAGGCCTCAAGGACTCATGGAGGCAGAGACTGTCATCCTTGCTCCTTTCTGGACATCTTCATTTCTCTCTAGGAAACAACCTTTGCTATTTTCCATCCACAAAGTGGGTCATGAAGGCTCACAGCTCCTGGGTTAAAATCTCTGCCACTGAAGACGGCAAGACATTTGAGGCTGAAATCTTTTAGTCCTAAGTCTTAATTCCTGATGAAGGGTCTCAGCTGCAGGGAGGTGCCCATTCCTGTATCAGCCAACTGTGGCAAGAAAAGATGGATCACTGTGCATAAAAATGGTCATGCTGGCGAGAGGTATCGATGGAGGCATTTTCCAGAAAGAATGAGTGCTTTGCAGACATAACAATGGGTGTAAACTACAGCTTCCTTCCAGTTTGTAAAGCTTTTATGTTTCATCATAAAAAAAAATGCAGAAAAGAGAGGAAAAGTGGAATTCAAAAGCAAAATGTCAAATTTTGAATGAAACGAATATGTTATTCTGCCTTGCTATGAATATAAATGTGTTTTGTTCTATGAACTTATTATAGTCCCGTAAAGCAGAGTAGGAATACATTGTTTTTGTGTATGTGAATGAAACCACACTTTATGTGCACTAAAACAGCTACTCAAAGAAACTTCGTGATGTGTATATGATTTTGTGTTTTTATGAGTGGGCATATTTTTAAGTAAATAATTCACTTTCTAAAATGAATAACATGTAATTGAGTATTGTTACTTCTGGATTTTTATACATCAGGTATATCTAGAGAAAATTATTCAGTTTTCATAGAATTAAAAAGATTAACTTCTGCTCACAGTTTGAAACTGGATCAAACTTATGATATAAAGCCCTTCTTCCAATATTCCATAGCTAATAACACCTATGAAATCTCAAAGGTCAATGGAAACAAAATAATCAAAACAGATATGTTTCCTTTCAGTAAACCTCAGATACATTTGAAGCATTTGCCTACGAGACTTTAAAAATGTTGTTCAGCAGTCATTTAAATGCATTTGCAGATGTCATGGCAAAAAGCAAATTATCTGGTTGATTACATTTTCTTTCTAGGTTGTTGCTCTTTAGAGTTCTCTGCCCCTTGCCCTAAGAGCAGAGTCACAGAAAATGTTGGGTTTTGTTGATATAACTTGAATCTTCAAATCAACAGGATAGAAGCCCGATATTCACTGTAATTACTACTACTGTGTTCTGAGGATAGGAAAAGTAAAAATATATTTCCCTACCCTCTGGCAAGGTACAATGAAAACAAATTAGAGTTCTGTGGTAGAGCTCCTTGGCTGTTCCTTGAGCAGACATTTTCTCAAGATCATGGGGATTTAACTAGATTTTTAATCTTTGTTGTGTAAGTTCCAGAAATCATAAAAATATCTCTTCAGACGCAAAGCAGGCATTTTGTCTCTCTTCAAAGCCCAAGAAGCTTTAAACCTAGGCAGCAAAAACAGCAAGGCAGCAAAGATGACAATAATGAGGAGATAAAAGGTAATGGAGACCACCCTCAGGATTATTTCCTGCCCTCTACTGGAGCTCAGGAGGATTCCTTATCAACCAGAGAAGCTTTTCCCAAGTCGCATTCAGAGAAACATCACGTCTGCCTCTTGTGTGGGATGGTGACAGTAAGTGTGGGAAATGCGGAGTTAAGAGAAGGAAGGAAAATAGGGTTCCTTGATGTGCAGCCTTTATTTTGATAAAGCAAGTTGTAGAAAAATCAAGAGAAGACTAAGTCCGCAGTGTTTCCTTAGGATGGGGATATTGGATCCCTTTTTAAAGACCATTTTATATTTTTATGTTTTAGTTCTATGGTTCTTTAGACTCAAAGAAAATAAAACAAGTAATAAGTGTGTAAAATGTTCAGATATAACTATGAATTTTGGGTCAGCTACCATATTGGAACACATTAGAATAAATTATTTATTAATCGATTAATCAATTCCATATGCTAGCTGGTAGGCATAAAGAAAATCCTAGTGGATCATTCTTGCCCTCAACACATATATTTTTTTCCAGCTACACACAGGCCATGTCTAACTGTCTAACTGCCTCTATGAAGGACATAGGAGATAAAGAAAATGTTTATTGATCGATAAATTAAAAACTTGCTCTTGACTGGATAGGCACAGACCTCATCAATCTAGTCCAGACACAGTTGCTGTATCTGTTGACAGGTAGAGATAATACTTTTTATTCTTTATTAGCAGAGAGTACCAGCATTGGTCAAGAGGTGGATGAGGCAGAAGGTACAAGTAGATCAAAGAGGATTCCAATTCCGGAAATTTCCCAGTTCATTAAAGATTGACAAAATGAATGCACTTATGCATAGTCAAAACTACAGCTCAGGCCGGGCGCGTTGGCTCATGCCTGTAATCCCAGCACTTTGGAAGGCTGAGATGGGTGGATCATGAGGCCAGGAGTTCAAGACCAGTGTGGCCAAGATGCTGAACCTCGTCTCTACTATAAATATGAAAAAAATTAGCCAGGCGTGGTGGCGTGCGCCTGTAGTCCCAGCTACTCAGGAAGCTGAGGCAGGAGAATCACTTGAACCTGGGAGGCAGAGGTTGCAGTGAGCCAAGATCACGCCACTGCACTCCAGCCTGGGCGACAGAGCAAGACTCCGTCTCACAAAATAAACAAAAACAAAAACAAAAACAGAACTACAGCTAAGGCCAAGTGCTTTTGTGCCAATCCTAATTATTTTGGCACTGAACGTGCTCTATATAGTGCTATGTATAGACCAAGGCCCAGATTGAAAAGAGTGAATCTTTTTAAAAATAACCCTGAATATTTCCTGCTGTGACAAAATATTGAAAATACCAATTAATGATGCCATTTTTGGGGTTCTATTTAAAATGTTTTCTATTATTGAAGATGTAATTTCAATACCATGAGGTATTGAATGATCACGAGGTCAGGAGTTCAAGACCAACCTGGCCAAGGTGCTGAAACCTTGTCTCTACTAAAAATACAAAAAAAAAAAAAAATATTAGCCGGGCATGGTGGCGTGCACCTGTAGGCCCAGCTACTCAGGAACCTGAGGCAGGAGAATCACTTGAACCCAGGAGGCAGAGGTTGTAGCGAGTCGAGATTGCATGACTGCATTCCAGCCTGGGTGAAAGAGTGAAACTCCATCTCAAAAATTAAAATGAAATTTAAAAAGAAAGAAAGAGGGAGAGCGAGAGGAGGAAGGAAAGAAACAGAAGGAAGGAAGGAAGGAGGGAGGGAGGGAGGGAGGGAAGGAAGGAAGGAAGGAAGGAGGAAAGGAAAGGAAAGGAGGAAGGAAGGGAGGGAAAGAAAGAAGGAAAGAAAGAAAGAGGAAAGAAGGAGAGAAAAGAAAGGAAGGAAGGAAAGAAGGAGAAAGAAAGAGAGGAAAGAAAGAAAGAAAGAAAAAGAAAGAAAGAGAGAGAGAGAGAAAGAAAGAGCCAAACTATTTTCCAGAGGGCCTGAGCCATTTTACATTCCTACCAGCGATGTAGGAGTGATTCAGTTTCTTCCCATCCTTGCTAACATTAGTGTTCCTATTTTTTAGTTCAACCTTTCTGATAGTATGTGTTGATTTTCATTTGTGTCTGCCTGGTGGCTAATGGTATTGAACATGTTTTCATATGCTTTTTTGGTGTAGGTACATCCTTTTCTGTGAAACGTCTCTTCATGTCTTTTGACCATTTTCTAATTAATTTTTTTTGCTATTGTTTTTTCAGTTCTTTTTATATTCTACATACTAGTCCTCTCTTGGATATGTGGTTTACAGATAATTTCTTTTACTCTGTACCTTGTTGTTCCACCCTCTTCACAAGGTCTTTTTCAGAAAAAAAAAAAGTTTTTAATTTGGATGAGGTCCAATTTATCAACTTTTTATAGATTATAGTATTAAATCTAAGAACTCTTTGCCTAGACCAAGATATCCAATAATTTCTCCTACTATTTTCCTAAATTTTTTTTGTTTTAATTTTCCATTTTGTATTAGTGTTTGTATAAGTTGTGAGACTTAGGTGGAACTTCCTTTTTGCCCGTGAATGTCCAATAGCTCTAGCACCATTTCTTGACAAAGCTATCTTTCCTCAGTTGAATTGCTTTTCCATGTTTGTCAAAAATCCATTGTGTCTATTTGTGTGGATCTATTTCTGGATTCTCTATTCTGTTTTATTGATCTACATGTCTATCCTTCTACCAACACCACACAGTTCTGTTTACCACAGTTATATAATGTCTTGAATATATAATATAAACATAAAATAAATTCCTCCCACATTATTTTTCTTTCAAAATTGTTTTACCTGTTCTACTTCATTTGCTTTACCTATAAATCTTAGAATTATCTCTATATCTACAAAAAAATCTTGCTGGGGTTTTGAAAGGAATTTCATTAAACTTGTGTATCAATTTGGGGAGAACTGGCTTTTATACAAGGTTATTCTTCATGGATTTGAAGTATGTCTCTCCATTTATTTACATCTTCTTTTATTTCTTTCACCAGCATTTTGCAGTTTTCAGCATACAAGTCCTGAACAAACTTTATTTGATTAACACCTATTTAATTTTTGGGCAATTTTAAACAGTATTGTGTTTTTGATTTCAGCATCCACATGTTCACTGTTAGTATATAAAAATGTAATTTACTTTTGTATATTTATTGCATATCCTGTAATCTTTCTGGACTCGATTCTTAGTTCTAGAAGGTTTTTTTGCAGATATTTTGGGATTTAACAGGTAAATATAATACCATCTGCAAAGAGGGGAAGCTTTAATTTCTTCCTTTCTGATCTGTGTATCTCTTATTTCCTTTTCTTGCTTTATTGCCCTGACTAGAAATTTCAACATTATGTTAAATAAATCCTCACCTTGTTCTCAATTTTAGAGGAAAACATTCACTCTTTTACAACTACATATAAAGTAAACTTATTATTATTACTATTATTATTTGAGACTGTGTCTCCCTCTATTGTCCATGCTTGGCTAATTTTTTAAATTTTTGTAGAAATAGTGTCTCACTATGTTGTCCAGCCAATGATCTCAAACTCCTGGTCTCCAAGTGATCCTTGCACCTCAGCCTCCCAAAGTGCTGAGATTAAAGGCATGAACCACAGCACCTGGCCTAAAGTTTTTGTAGATGTTCTTTATCAAGTTGAGGAATTTCTCTTCCATTCCTGTTTTTTGAAAGTTTTTATTATGAATAAGTTTTGAATTTTGTCTACTAGCTTTTCTATATTGGCTAATATGATCATGTGATTTTTCTATTTTATCCAGTTAATTTGCTGGATTACAGGGTTAATTTTTGAATATTTAACCAGCCTGCATCTCTGAAATAAACCCACTTGGTTATGGTGTATAATTATTTTTATATATTGCTAAATTCTATTTGTTATATTTTGCTAAGGAGTTTTACATCTTAATGAAGGATACTGGTTTGTTGTGTTCTTTTCTCTACGTTATTTTTCTAGTTTTGACATCAGGGTAATAATAGCTTCATAAAATGAATTGAGAGATATTCTCTCCTCTTCTGTTTTCTGGAAGAGACTGTGTATAATTGAATTTTTTTAAAGTCTGGTAGACTTTTCCAGTGAAACCATGAACCTGGAGATTTTGTTTTTAGAGATTTCTAAATTATGAATTTAATTTTCTTAATAGTCATTGATTGCGCTATTCAAATTATCCATTTCATACAGGGTGAGTTGTAATAGTCTGTGGTTTTTGAGACACTGATCAGTTTTGTATAAGATGTCAAATTATGTGTTTAAGTTTATGGTATTCTTTTATCCTTTAGATGTCTGCAGGTTTTGTAGTCATTTCCCCTGCTTCATTCCCGAAAATGGCAATTTGTGTCTTTTCTTTTTTTTTTTTTGTCTTGTTACAGAACTGTCAATTTATCAATTTTTATAAAGAACCAGCTCTTTGTTTCATTGGTTTTTAAATTATTTGAATGTTTTCAATTCCATTGATTTATGCTCTTTATTATTTTCTTACGCTTGCTTGCTTTGGGTTTATTTTGCTCTTCTTCTATGTTCTAGAGTTTGGAGTTTAGATGATTGATTTGGAAATTTTCATCTTTTCTAATGTATACATTTATGTTATAAATATTTCTCTCAGCCCTGCTTTAGCAGTGTTCCACAAATTGACATGTTACATTTTATTTTTATTGTTTTTTTTTTATTTTCCAGAAGATCCTTCAATGATATTATTTAAAGTGTGTTGTTTAATTTCCAAATGTTTGGAGATTTTCCTTTTAGTTTTTTCTCATTGATTTCTAATTTGATTCCATTATGATCAGAGAACATACTTGGTATAATGTCTGTTTTTTAAAACTTATTATGATGTGTTTAATGGCCCAAAATATGGTCTTAGGGAATGTTTCATGGGAACTTGAGACCATGAAAAGCAAAACACCATGCTTTTTGCTGTTAGTTGGAATATCCTGTAATCAGGTCAAGCTGATTGATCATGTTGTTCAGGTCATCTACATCCTTACTGATTTTTCTGCCTGCTTGATCTATGGATCTATCAGTTACTGATAAAGGAGTGTTAAAGTCTCAGCTCTAATAATGGAATAGTCTAGTTCTTCTTTCAGTTCTATCCATTTGCCTCATGTATTCTGAATCTCTCTTGTTAGATACATACACATTTAAGTTTGCTACGTCTTCTTGGAAAAATGAGCTCCTCATTATTATCTAATGACCCCCTTTATTGCTTCCACTTTTCCTTGTGGTGACGTCTGCTTCATATGAAATTAATATACCTATTCCAGGTTTCCTTTAATCAATTTTGCACAACACATCTTTTTTCTATTCTTTTACTTACAACCTGACTATGTTGTTATATTTGAAGCAAGTTTCTTGGGGATAGCATGTAGTTGAGCCATGATTTTATCCACTCTGCTGGCCTCTGTCTTTTAAATAGTATATTTAAGTAATTACTTGTATTAAATGTAATTACCGATATGTGATGGTATATTTAATGTAATTACTGATAGGGCTTAAGTATGCCATTTTATTTTTTGTGGGTTTTTTTTCTTGTTCCTGCCTTCCAGTGGATTGCATTAATATTTTTTAAAATCCATTTCAATTTTCTAAGTTTGTTTGTTTGTTTGCTTGTTTTTACAGTCTTGCTTTGTCACCCAGTCTGGAATGCAGTGGCATGAAAATGGTTCACTGCAGCCTCAGCCTCCTGGGCTTAAGTGATCCTCCCAGCTCAGCCTCCTGAAGAGGGAACACAGATACATGCTACTATGCCCGACTATGTTTTTATTATTATTATCATTATTATTATTATTGCTGTTATTATTTAGAGACAGGGTCTTGTTATGTTGCCCAGGCTGGTCTCAAACTCCTGGGCTCAAGTAATTTTCCTATTTCAGCCTCCCAAACTGCTAAGTATGATTACAGGTGTCAGCCACCGCACCTAGCTCTAAATATTTTTGAATGCATTATTGTGCAGCTCTTTTTAGTTGATGATAAAATTATATTCACACAACTTATTATAGCCTTCCGGTGTAATCACTTTACCAATTTGAGTAAAGTGAAGTATGGAACCCTATGTCTCTTCATGTTCCTTTACTCTCCCCAATTTTTAATGTTTTTTAGCTAATTCCTCTATGTACATTTAGAATCATATCAGACGTTGTTACATTTTTTTCTTCAACAATCAAAACAATCAAAAAAATTCAGAAGGATGGGTGCAGTGGCTCACACCTGTAATCTCAGCACTTTGGGGGACCGAGGTGGGCAGATCATTTGAGGTCAGGAGTTCGAGACCAGCCTGACCAACATGGGGAAACCCCATCTCTACTAAAAATACAAAAATTAGTCGAGAAGGGGGCACATGCCTGTAATCCCAGCTACTCAGGAGGCTGAGGCAGGAGAATCACGTGAATCCAGGAGACAGAGGTTGCAGTGAGCGGAGATCGTGCCACTGCACTCCAGCCTGGGCAACAGAGCAAGACTTTGTCTCAGGAAAAAACAAAATTTTCAGAAAATCAGAGAAGATAAGTCTATTGTATTTCTTACATGTTTGCTTACCACGTTTTGTTCTTATCTGATATTCCAAGGTTCCTTTTCTTATCGTTTCCCTTTTATTTAGAAAATTCCTTTTAATCATTCTGTTAGAGTTCGTCAGCTGGTGACAAATTCTCTCAGTTTTCCTTCATCTGAGAATGTTTTCATTTCCCCGTTATGCCTCAGGAAAAATGTTTGCTGGGCAGAGGATTACGGATTGACAGTTCTTTCTTTTCAGCAGGAAAGGAAAAATTTTGTGGCACTTTCTTCTGGCATCCACGGTTTTTCTCATGAGAACGCTGCTGTGGTTTGAATCATTTTTCTCTTCTAGTTAATGTGTCATTTTTCCCTGACTGCTTTCAAGATGTTTGTTTTGTGGTTGTCTGCAGTTTTCAAATGTTTATTAAGTGGCTTGGTATGCATTTCGTTGGGCTTATTTATCCTATTTGGGCTTCTCTCAGCTTCTTCAACTGAAGGTTTATATCTTTGCTATGCTTGTGATGTTTTTAAGCCATTATTTCTTCAAGTACTTTTTTTTTTTAAGTTCAGCTTTTTATTGAACACATTATAAAAGAGGTTTCGTCAAAAAGACCAAAGCCCATGTCACCATCAGACTTCTCGGATTCTTCTTTCTTTGCTTCCACTTTCTTCTCCTCAGCTGGAGCAGCAGCAGCAGAGGCGGGCAGAAGCTCCTGCTGGTACAGATAGAGCCAGCTGCTGGACCAGGTCCACCAGCCCCTACATTGCAGAGGAGGCTCCCCATGTTGACTTTGGCCAGGCCTTTGCAAACAAGCCAGGCCAAAAGGGTTCAACATTTACACCGGCTGCTTTAATGAGGGCATTGATCTTATTCTCCGTGACGGTCACCTCATCATCGTGCGGAATGAGGGCCAGGTAGATGCAGGCGAGCTGGGAGACGAAGGCCATGGCACGGGTGAGTGTGGGGCTGGCGCTGCCGGACGCGGATGGACCGAGCACCTTGGTGGCAGCTGAGGAAAGGTTCTTCAAGCACTTTTTTAGTCCCCTTATCTTTTTCCTATCCTTTCATAACTCCAATGGCACCAATGTTAGATCTTTTGTTATAAACCCACAAAAGATCTCCATCCCAGAGGCCGTGCTCCTTTTTGTCAGTCTGTTTTCTCTCCGCTGTTCAGATTAGGTAATTTCTGTTGTTCTGTCTTCTATTTCACTGACTTAGTGGTTTCTTCCATCTTATCGATTTTGCCATTGAGCCCATCCACTGAGTTTTCCTTTTTGATGTTGTCCTTTTCAGTCCTAAAGTTTCCATTTTTTTATAACTTCTATTTCTTTGCTGAGAATTTCAGTTTATTTCCTGAGGCCTTCTAGTTTGTAATATGCTTAAAGCATATTATTATTATTATTATTAAATAATTTTTATCATAGATCAGGGGTGTCCAATCTTTTTTGGCTTCCCTGGCCACACTGGAAGAAGAATTACACATAAAATACACTAACACTAATGATAGCTGATGAGATTTTTAAGAATCACAAAAAAAACAACCAACCTCATAATGTCTTAAGAAAGTTTACGAATTGCTTTTGGGCCATATTCAAAGATGTCCTGGGCCACAAGTTGGACAAGTTTGTCATGGATACTTCAAAATCTTTGTAAGCTAATCTATTAACTCTGTCATCTCAATCTTGACCACTATTGATATATATATTTTTTCCATTTAGTTAGAGGTCTTCCTGGTTCTTGGTACGATGAGTATTTTGTTGTTGTTGTTGTTAATACAGCGTCTCACTCTGTCACCCAGGCTGGAGTGCAGTGGTGTGATCTTGTCTCAGTGCAACATCTACCTCCCAGGCTCAAATGATTCTCGTGTCTCAGCCTACCAAGTAGCTGGGACTACAAGCATGTGCCACCACGCTCGGCTAATTTTTTTTTTTTCCCAGTAGAGACGGGGTTTCGCCATGTCGGCCAGGCTGTTCCCAAACTCTTGGCCTCAAACAATCCACCCACCTCGGCCTATCAAAGTGCTGCGACTACAGGCGTGAGCCACTGAGCCTGGCCTGATGAATGTTTTTTAAAATTGAAAGCTGGACATCTTTGTATTTTGTTATGCGATTCTGGGTTGTCGTTGGCTTTTGATGACACCACTCCTCCGGAAGAGGGAAATGCTGTTTCATGACCACCTGCTGAGGGTAGAAATTTGACACTGCAGTGAGGGTGGCCTGGTCACCACTGTTTGATGGCAGAAGTCTCGATGCTCCCTTAGGCTTCTTCTGACACCACTCCAGGGTGGAGAAGTGGGGTGTTATTACTACCAGGTTGGTGTGGGATATCCAGTCTCCTCTCGTGATCTTCACTGAAATGTGGATGGGGGAAAGGAGGTCTCATTCCTGACAAGAAGCAGACCAGTGGTGACTAGGGATGGGGCGGGGTGAGGGAAAATGAAGAAAAATGGGTTTCAAAAAGGCACAAGGAAACTTTTGGGGAGAATAAAAATTTCTACTATTTTGATTATGGCTGTGGTTTTAGGGATATATTCATGTGTCCAAATGCATCAAAATTTTATACTTTACAGCTATCCAGGTTGTGTATTAATTATCCCTTAATAGGTATAAAACTCAAAACATCTGAAAACAAAGAAGGAAATATTTTAAGTCTCCTTACTCATGTCTTCAATGTGAATTAGGTTGTAAGATGGTAAGACTTTCTTTTTTTCAGCACTGAATGGTCCAGAACTGTACTGTTCAATATGTTAGCCACTAGCCATATGTAGCTAATTAATTCCTCATTTATTTCTTTTCTTTTCTTTTCTTTTCTTTTTTTTATACAGAGTCTCCCTCTGTCACCTAGGCTGGAGTTTAATGGCGCAATCTCAGCTCACTGCAAACCTCTGCCTCCTGGGTTTAAGTGATTCTCATGCCTCAGCCTCCCGAGTAGCTGGGATTACAGGTGCGTGCCACCACACCCAGCTAATTTTTTTTTTTTTTTTTTTTTTAGTAGAAACAGTGTTTCACCATGTTGGCCAGGCTGGTCTCGAACTCCTGACCTCAGGTGATCCACCTGCCTCAGCCTTCCAAAGTGTTGGGGTTACAGGTGTGAGCCACCGTGCCTGACTAGTTCCTCATTTTCACTAGCTACACTTCAAGTGCTCATTACCCACATGCAGCTAGTGACCACCTTACTGGACACTGCAGATATAGAACCCTTACATCATTAAGAAACTCTTGGACAGCATTGGTTCAGGTATTACAATATTATGGGAATAATTATCTGGATATGTGTGTGTGTTCATGTGTGTGTGTGTTTTCATAGGCTAATTTTTACTTTTTCAAAATGAAATTATGAATGTGAAAGTGAATAGTACAGGACCTAACACAATATAGCTATACAACAACAATAAAAATGTTAGCATCTCTTCCATCCAGTTTGGAAAATCTTTTATTTGAAATAAGAGTAAGAAGTCAATTGAGAGAATTCCAAAAGGTGCCCCAAAGCAAAAACAAAAGATTGAGGTTTAAATGAACTGTACGGTATAAAAAAGGCAACAATTTTAAAAGTAAGATAGTAAGGATAAATAGTAAAATAGTAAGGCTTTCTAATTAAGATACAAAACCTAGCAGCCATAAAACAAATGGCTGATAAATATGAATTCACATAAATTTAAAAATTTCTATACAGAAAAGAAGAAAAGGCACTATAAACAAAATAAAAATAAATAAATAAATGACTGGTATACCCAGACAACAAAACATCATTGAGTTCTAAAAAGAAATGAACTACCAAGCCATGAGGAGTCATGGCAGAACCTTAAGTGCATATTACTAAGTGAAAGAAGTCAATCTGAAAAGGCCACACACTGTATGACTCCAACAATGCGACTTTGTGGAAAAGGCAAAACTATGGAGAGAGTAAAAAGATCACTGGTTGTCAGGGGTGGAAGAGATGAACAGGTAGAGCATAGAGGATTGTTAGGGCACTGAAATGACTCTATATGATATTCCAGTAGTGGATTCTTGTCATTATAACCCATAGAATGCACAACACCAATGATAAACCCTAATGTATACTATGGCCCCTGTGTGATAATGATGAACCCTGTGTGATAATGACGCGTCAGTGCGATAATGATGGCCCCTGTGCGATAATGATGCATCAGTGGAGGTTCACTGAACCGTAACAAATGTACTACTCTGGTTGGGACTTGTTGGTAGTGGAAAAGACTGAGGTATATGAGAGTAAGAGGTATACAGGAAATCTCTTTACCTTTCTTTCATTTTCCTCTGAACCTAAAACTCCTCTGAAAAGCATAGTCTTAAAAAAATAGGCCCGGCGGGATGGCTCATGCTGGTAATCCCAGCACTTTGGGAGGCCGAGGCGGGTGGATCACCTGAGGTCAGGAGTTTCAGACCAGCCTGACCAAGATGGTGAAACCCCATCTCTACTAAAAATGCAAAAAAAAAAATTAGCCGAGCTTGGTGGCTCATGCCTATAATCCCAGCTACTTGGGAGGCTGAGGCATGGGAATGGCTTGAACCCGGGAGGCGTAGGTTGCACTGAGCCAAGATCGAGCCTTTGCACTCCAGCCTGGGCAGCAAGAGTGAAACTCTGTCTCAAAAAAAAAAAAAAAATGGTACCACACTGTGAAGACATTTTTGCAATCAACTGAAAATGGAAAGTGTATTCTTCCATGTTGTCTCCCCAGCACTCATCATTTTGCTGTCACATTTTATATTTACTGATATTAGATTTTATGTATCTTTGTTTTAATTGCCCACTTAGACACAGTTCATGAGAGCAGTGATTTTATTTGTCTTGCTTATGCCTGTATCTTCAGTGTCCAAAGTAGTGCTTGGCATATGATAAGTGGTTGGTGAATGAATGGAAAAACTTTGAGAAATTGACAAAGAGACCAGAAAACCAATAGCAAAGCAGGCAGAAATGTAAACAGGATGTTCACGTAAAAGTCAAATACAAATGATTCATATTAAATGATGAATAATCTCATTCATACTTCAATAAATTCTAATTAAAACATATGAATACAAGTTTTCACTCAATACATTCGTAACATGAAAACAAAAAATTTATAATACACCACTTTGAAGAAGAGATAGGCAGCAAGAGTTTTCATACACTTGTTAGTTTCTTTGTAGGATACTTTTACAATACTTATAAATTTATAGTTATTACTTTTATAACTCAGCACATGCACTATTTTAAAAATTTACACTATTGGTATACTCGCAAATAAATGTGCACAAAGATATATACTCACACACATACACAAAGATACTTATTTTATCATTGCTTATAATGACAACAAAAAAAGTGCTGTGCCAGCCGGGCGCAGTGGCTCACGCCTGTAATCCCAGCACTTTGGGAGGCCAAGGCAGGCGGATCATGAGTTCAGGAGATCAAGACCATCCTGGCTAGCACAGCGAAACCCTGTCTCTACTAAAAATACAAAAAATTAGCCGGGCGTCGTGGCAGGTGCCTGTAGTCCCAGCTACTCGGGAGGCTGAGGCAGGAGAATGGCGTGAACCCAGGAGGCAGAGCTTGCAGTGAACCGAGATCGCGCCACTGCACTCCAGCCTGGGTGACAGAGCGAGACTCCGTCTCAAAAAAAAAAAAAAAAAAAAAAGTACTGTGCCAATACAATGGATATCATGCTATTCTGATGATGTGAGCACTTCCCTAAGTGCCAACCTTACTATCAGAAGAGGACTTGGTTGGGAAGGATAATGGAATTCCATCAAGTGTTTTATCTTCACTAAGGATTTTGAGTTTGCATCAAAACCTAATTACTGCAAAAAAGCATCAGGACCCATTTCCAAACCCTCATGAAGGGGCTCTCCCACTCCTGTATCTGCCTCCAGCAAAGCACTACTGGGATCCACTCACCAGATTATTTATTTATTTATTTTTTGAGATGGAGTCTCGCTCTGTCACCAGGCTGGAGTGCAGTAGCACAATCTCGGCTCACTGCAACCTCCGCCTCCTGGGTTCAAGTGATTCTCCTGCCTCAGCCTCCCAAGTAGCTGGGATTACAGGCATGTGCCACCATGCCCAGCCAATTTTGCATTTTTAGTAGAAACAGGGTTTCACCATGTTGGTCAGGCTGGTCTCGGCCTCCCAAAGTGCTAGGATTACAGGCCTGAGCCACCGTGCCCGGCCACTCACCTGATTATTAAACCAGATTCATTTAGGACTCTGCTGGGCACTGCGAGGGAATAACATAACAGAAGCATCATTTCTACCCAGAAGGACTTCACCGCCTACTAAGGCAAGCTGTGTATAGAGGAGAAAGTTAAATCATTCTGACTACTGCCTTTAATCCAAGACTAAGGCCTGAAATCCTGAAGAATTTACAAAATGCTTAGACCTCCATTATAAACTTGCAGTTGCCATCCCCAGCCTTTCTTACTGCTGCTTGGTAATTCATTTTCCACCAATTTGTTCTCTCCTTTTGTTCATTCCACAATAATGAGTATACATCGTGTAATAATGGGGATACTGGCACTGTGGAGAGACATGGTAAAAAGAATGGAGGGGTCACTCTTAAGAAACCTATTTGAACAGTATCTGAAGTGAGGAAACAGATAAATAGATCATATAGGCATGAAGGAAAAGCCTCTCCTTTGCCCTCTGAAGGTTCATTGAAAATCATTGACAAGAGGCAGATTAATAGGAGAAAAAGCACACGAACTTAATGTGTATATGGAAGCCTTCTGGATGAAGACCCAAAGATATAGAGGAAATTGTCCATTTTTATGCTTCGAGTCAACAAAGTCTGGAATATGACTGGACAGAAAGGGAATGATCTAATGCTACTAGACTGAGTGGGGAAGCCCAGCAACGCCTGTCCCTCTAGATTCTTCTGGCCTCTCTGAGCAGCATTCCTTCCTTCTGGGTATGGGGCAGAGCTCTCTCTGGACTGGGGGTCTTAGGACCTACAGTCCAACAAGGCAGGTCAGATAACTTCTTTATGACTACTTTTACGGCTGGCTTTGAGGAGAAGGGGTTCTGATTTCCATGACCCGCCTCGGGCCAGAGGGATTCTAGTCTCTGGGGAGAATGGAACAGGTCAGGAGAAGGTCAGAGAAAAAGTTTGCTTCTGAGGCTGCTTCAGGGTATTGCATTCTTAGTCCCAACAATTCCAACGTGGTAAGTGCTAGGACAGACTTAAGAACAGCCGCCTACAGGCTCACATACATGAGGTGCCCAACACAGACTGAGAGAGAAGGAAAGGGAGGAAACACTCAGGAACTTGAGTTTATGGTCAGCTTCCTCCCCCATTCTTTATGGTGACTGTTCCAATCTTTCACCATGGTTCAATTTCTCAATCACTTCTATGAAGTTGCTCAAAACAAAAGCAATATACAGAAGTTTAACTAAAAGGTATAGCCCTATTTGACAGAGGGATAATTTATACATACAGTTTTGCACAGATTATATGCACAGAATTTTAGTCCAAAACTTGCAAAGTTCTGACAAATGTATGCACCACGTCGATTAAGGTATAAAACATTTCCATTGTGGTAAAAATTTAAATGCCCTCCTGATCTTTCACACCAAGATCACCCCATGCCCTGACAAAAAAAAACTAGGATTCTCATTTCTGTCACCACGTTTTAGTTTTGCTTTTATGAAATGAAATCTCACACTATGCACTTGCTAGCGTCTGGCTTCTTTTTATTTACTTTTTATTTTTTGAAATGGAGTCTCACACTGTCGCCCAGGCTGGATTGCAGTGGTGTGATCTCGGCTCGCTGCAACTCTGCCTCCCAGGTTCAAGCAATTCTCCTGCCTCAGCCTCCCGAGTAGCTGGGATTACAGGCATCCATCACCACACCCACCTAATTTTTTGTATTTTTAGTAGAGATGGGGTTTCACTTACGTTGGCCAGGCTGGTCTCAAACTCCTGACCTCGTGATCCACCCGCCTTGGCCTCCCAAAGTGCTGAGATTACAGGCGTGAGCCACCGCGCCCGGCCACGTCTGGCATCTTTTGCTCAACATACTGCTTTTGATTGTCATCCATGTCATTACCTGTATTCGTGTTCCAAGTTGCTGAGTCACTTCCACTGTATGAATCTACTACAATTTGTATATAGACCTTCAAATTTTTTCCAGTTTATGGCTCTTATAAAAAATGCTATGAACATTCTTGCACAGAGCTTATTGTAGACATATATTTTCGTTTATTTTGGTAAATCCCTTCCCTCTGCCTTTGGTAGACATATAACGTAGTATTCTGAGTCTTAAAAGTTAGAAGGTTAGGATAAAAAAAAACCCAGTGGTAAAACTGTATCAATAATTCTCAATCTGATTTTTAAGTGGCCTCAGTTATAATCTTCCCTTGTCTCTCACTTCAATTAGAAAATGAAGGTTAGCAAATATTAATGCCATCAATATACAGCCTCCATACACATTTATCTGTCTTTATAGCTCCTTTCTCCTGTTTTCTGTTGGACTTTGAGGAAAAGGTTTCTGTTTTCCTGTCCAAGGCAAATCCCTCTTCATCTTATTTTCTACCATCTCCTCAGGAGCTTTACTGTACTTTGCCCTCAAGTCTTTTTCATATTAAAAAAATGTCTATATCAAGCTCGCTAGACAAGAACATGGCACACACAGTCTGGCAAACAAGAAATATATATAAATAATCCTACAAACAGTTACATAAAGTGAAAAGTTCTGTAAAGGAAAACTAGAGGGAACAATGAAAGATTAAAACAACAGATCCTGATTTAGTTTGGAAGCTCAAGAGACTTCTCTGAACACTTGGATAGAAAACGTTGAAACTACAGATGAGAGAGAATTATAAATAAGGAAAGTACTTCAGGAGATAGGACAGAATTAGAATCAAAGTACAGTTGATGCTTGAACAACACAGGTTTGAACTACACGGGTTCCCTTATAGGTGGACTTTCTTCCACCTCTGCCACGAAAGATAGCAAGACCAACCCCTCCTCTTCATCCTCCTCCTCAGCCTACTCAACCTGAAAATAATAATGAAGCCCTTTATGATGATCAGCTCCTACTTAATGCATAGGAAATGCACTTTCTCTTTCTTCTTCTTCTTCTTATTATTTTTGAGATGGAGTCTTGCTCTGTTGTTCAGGCTGGAGTGCAGTGGTGTGATCTTGGCTCACTGCAACCCACGTTTCCTGGGATCAAGCGATTCTCCTGTCTCAGCCTCCTGAGTAGTTGGGATTATAGACACATGCCACCATGCCCAGCTATTTTTTGTATTTTTAGTAGAGACAGGGTTTCACCATGTTGGCCAGGCCAGTCTTGAACTCCTGACCTCAAGTGATCCACCCATCTCAGCATCCCAAAGTGCTGGGATTACAGGTGTGAGCCACTGCGCCCAGCCTTCTTTCTTTAGATTTTCTTAACACTATTTTCTTTTCTCTAGCTTACTTTATTATAAGAACACATTATCGTAAGAACACAGTGGTACTTTACTACCACTTCAAGTATGTTGAATGCTCTTTTATTCTTGGATATATAATAATAGGGCATAATATATATAATGTACAAATATATGTTCATCAACTATTTATGTTATTAGTAAAGCTTTTGGTCAACAATAGGTCATTAGTAGTTAAGTTTTTGGGGAAGTCAAAAGTTACAGATGGGTTTTTGACTGCATGGGAGTTGGTGCCCCTAAACTCTACGTTGCTCAAGACTCAACGGTGTAAGGAATTTGATTTAGGTAGAAACAGAGTCAAAACCCTTTTTCTGAGATAGAAAGAAAGAATTTGACTAGAAAGTGAAATCAGTTTAAAAGCGTGGTATGAGTATGTGTATTCCTTATTTTTCCTATGAACCAGAAGGCCTGACAATCTTTTGAGGGAGCTGAGGATGATACTTGAAATTTGAAGGAAGTGGTGAGAAGTTAGAAGTGCTACTATAAGAAATGAGAGAGGCTGCTGGCAAGGAATTAGTAAAAGGTTTGCTGAGAGGTCCTGAGGGCCCAGGTGAGGGTGGAAAGCACCTGTGATTAAGGCGCTGCATCTTGTACCTGCAACACCCAACTGTGCGGGCACATGCGCACAGGGACAACAGGTGGTTTTAAGGTGTGTCTGGCAAAGGCCCTGGAGGCTATTCAATGGGAGGAGGAAGTAAGAAAATTGTTAAAAGAATGAGGACATTTAAAAGTCTTGAAGCGAAAATAAAGTTAGGCAAATTCTGCCTTTTCTGCCTCCACACCTCAAATATACAGATATGGGACCTGTATGCAAAGATCCGTCCCTACTTTATATGGCAACAAAAGACAAACAAACAAACAAACAAAACAAACAAAAAAACAATAACAAAAACTGTCCTTCAAAAAAGACCAAGTTTCTTTTAAGGCCAAAAATCTAAAAAAAAATTCTAAAGAGACTGAGCCTGTAAAAGAGTTTCTATATATAGCAAAGATTCAGCAACTGAGATAAAACTCTATTTTTTCTCCTCTTAAAAAAATGGAGATGCCAGAACATTACCTAGACATGAACTTCTCACATTTCAATGTGCGTATAAATCACGTTGTTAAAATCTTGTTCAGATGCAGATTCTGATTCAGTAAACCTGGGTTGGGAGCCTGAGATTCTGCTTTTTAACAAGCTCCCGGGTAATGTTGCTGCTGCTGGTCCTCATTGAGTAGCAAGGATTTAGATCACCTGAGGAGTGTAAATCAACTCTGAGTGACTCAATGGGGCTTCTGTGTTTGAAAATTGTAAAAATAAATAATTCAAAACCAAAGCTGTTGAAACTGTAAATTTTTTTCAGCCTTAATGGAATGTGGCCGTGTGCAGAGGCTCACATCTGTAAACCCAGCACTTTGGGAGGCTGAGGTGGGCCCATCACTTGAGGCCAGGAGGTCGAGACCAGCATGGTCAACATGGTGAAACCCATCTCTACTAAAAATACAAAAATTAGCTGGGCATGGTCGCACATGTTTGTAATCCCACCTACTTAGTACGTTGAGGCAGGAGAATTGCTTGAACCTGGGAGGCAGAGGTTACAGTGAGCCGAGATTGTACCATTGCACTCCAGCCTGGGCAACAGAGCAAGACTCTGTCTCCAAAAAAAAAAAAAAAAAAAAAAAAGAAATGTGATTATGACATTCAGTCATAAGACAGACAGCTATAACCTAGGCAGCTGTAACCTTTGTTTCTCTGATTATAGATTGGCCTTTACTTTACTTACATTGTTTCGTAAAATGTAATAAAGGATTAAAGGGCACCAGAGAAGACCCCTTGCCTCTTCATTGTTGGATCTTCATTATAGATTAACTTCCCTTTTACTTCTTTTATACAAAGACCTCATGACTATCACACAGTCTGAAACATTAAATATACCCTTCTAAACTGGAAAAGGGAAATAAAACAAGCTGTAACTAATCAAATTGCTGTAACTCATAAACCAGCCTTGTATGGAAAATATTATAATCCGGTTAAATTTCTTTGTTTTCTGCCTGTATAAGCAAGACCTTAACTTTTCAGCTTGG
Organism: Homo sapiens; assembly: GCF_000001405.40. Lineage (NCBI taxonomy): Eukaryota > Metazoa > Chordata > Mammalia > Primates > Hominidae > Homo > Homo sapiens. The sequence goes on from NC_000001.11 coordinate 241,009,338, forward strand.
GAGCACTGACCCCATTCCTTTGGAATCTGGGTTACTTACATGACCATTCTCAGCTTTGCACATGAATAAACACTTTTAACCTGGATTCTGACTCTTTCATTTATTTCAGGTTGACAGAATGTAGGAAGAGAATCTGGCAGATCTCAGATAAACAGCAAAAGGAAGAGAGAAGGTCCTTTGGGTCCCTGTGGTGAAGGAGTCTATAGTGACCTGAATTATGAAACTGCCCCATAGCCTTGGAGGTTAGAGTTCAAATAGGAGGTACCATTCAGATTTCCCAGCCATTACTGAGTTGAAAACTGGTGGCATCAACTGGCACCCTGTAGATAAACTGACACACGACTGTAAACCCAGAAATTGGAAGTGAACACTTCTCTCACTGTTATACTTGAATGGGCATGTTAGAAGGCATACTGCAAATTGTTGGAAGGAGAGTCAACAATGAGGGACAAACTAGAAAGTGGAAGAAATAGGTCAGATGAAAGTTCAATAACAAAGCATTAAGTTGAGATGGTATTTGGGGTAGTACCTAGTAAGACGACTTAAGAAACATGGATGAAGCTGGAAACCATCATTCTCAGTAAACTATCACAAGGACAGAAAACCAAACACCGCATGTTCTCACTCATAGGTGGGAGTTGAACAATGAGAACACATGGACACAGGGAGGGGAACATCATACACCGGGGCCTGTCAGCGGGTGTGGGGCTGGGGGAGGGATGGCATTAGGAGAAACACCTAATGTAAATGACTAGTTGACGGGTGCAGAAAACCAACATGGCATATGTATACCTATGTAACAAACCTGCACGTTGTGCACATGTACCCTACAACTTAAAGTATAATTAAAAAAAAGAAAAGAAACATGGTATGACTTTCTGGGCTTGTGTATCTGAAGGAAATGGCTCTGAAGTGATGGCTGTGCTGGTGCTGTGAATGAACACCTGATCATGGTACCAGTCCACAGTCTGGATGCTTGTGGTAGAGCCAAAGAATTAGAATTTCTCTATGGATTGACGTTTCCAACATAATACACATGGATTTAAACAGTTAAGGCAAAAGTGTTTAGCAACATATGCTTTCATGTCACTAACCTAAATCCACCAGGAAAAAACCCCAAGTGGATCAAGAACTCTGCTCTGTGATGATCTCTCCCTGACACATTCAGCACACAGAAAGGAATCATTGCTGATCGTTTGTAACATGCCAAGAATGAAACTGCATTTTGGGATACTTTATTTTGCTCTCCTCCTTAGAGGCCAAGAGAGAAATTAAATTAAAGTCCATAGATCAAAAGCATAACTTCTCAGCTAAAAATGCAGCTACACATTAGTTAACATTCAGAAGACCAGGCCCTTTGCGGTTTTGTGACTTTCAAGTTAATGTCTTCTCAGCCAATGCACTAATTTCCTGCTGATCCTATCAATGGGTCGCGTCTGGGAATCACAGCACCTACAATGTCAACAGGGAGAATATGCAGATGTCTCTGGTGGAAGAGGTGATAAGCTCCATCAAAGTCTTGATCCTCTCATCAGAAAGGCTATCACCATTTTTCGTCCCACATGGGTTTTCCCCTCTGTCAATATGGCCCCGTGCCTGGTAAATCTGCATAATGAGATGGTTTTCATAAATCACGTGCAATCAACACACAGATTTTTTTGGACCTCTAACCAAGACTATATGTGTTTTAACTAGACTGAATACATAACTCTAGTGAAATAAAAAGAAAGTTTGTCTCAAGCAGAGAAAAGTCTTCAAAAGATGGCTGCAGGAGTATGCTTCCCCAGGGAGCTAATCTGTCTGGGTTAGGATAAGAAATAAAATGATTTTGTTTTTCACATTTTTAAAAAAGTTCTTGTGGTTGCAATATCCAACAAAATGTACTGTTGACTGCCTCAAATGGACAGTGCATATTCTTCCAGGATGGGCTTGGGGACTGAAAGGCAGAAGGACATACGTGCCCCTTCCTTCCTGGCAGCAGGGGAGGAAACGGCCTCATAGAATGGCAGAGAGCAAAGTAGAGCAGCCTCATGAAAGAGGCCATGGATGCTGACATGCTTGCTGGAGAAGATGAAAGAGATCCAGAAAGTTCCTGTGGCCCCTTGAGTGTTAGAAATGAAAACCAAGTAAAAAGTAAGAATTAAGTTGTCTGCTGGGGGCTCTCCACAGTGTGGATTGAGGGACCTTTAGATGATGGTGTCAAAGGCATTCGAACCAGAGTGACTCCATCTTGAGTAAGGGCTAGGGAAAAAATGAGGCTGGGACTTGTTGGGCTGTGTTCTCACAAAGTTAGGTATTCCTAGCCTCTAGGTGCTTACTGTTAAGAAAACAGATTGATAACATTTACTAAACAGACCCAGACTTAGGAGTGTCCTGATATCCCCATACCTTGAGAACAGAAGCATTCTTAATTTTGCTTTAAAGGTAATAATATCGATTCTTACAAAACATAGTAATTAAGAAAATTAATCCTATATCACAAACCCATGTAGCACAACACATGATCTTTTGATATATATATATATCTATCTATAAACTAGTATTGTACCTAAGGTGGATGCATTCCTCCCCTTACTTTTGGCAACGCCCTACTCTGTCTATGGAGTAGCTGTTCTTTATTAATAAAGCTGTTCTTTCTTAATAAACTTGCTTTTGCTTTGCGCTGTGGTCTTGCCCTGAATTCTTTCTTATGTGAGATCCAAGAACCCTTTCTTGGGGTCTGGACTGGGACCCCTTTCTGGTAACATCACTAGCCAGTTATAGACAACAGTAGTAATGGGGTGGTGTGGAGGAAGGGAGACCTTACATTGACTATACCCAGAGAACAGACCGTGAGCTATATCAATGCAGGAATATTGAAGAGTGAATGCAAATAGGGCAGAGGGCAACACGCAGATACACAATAGGACATGACATCTCAATGAAGATAGGTGAGACCGGAGGACCAAATGAGGACCAGAAGCCAGGGAAAAGTCCAAGGTCCCTCATGCAAAGGCACGAGGGCACACAACCTACTTGCCTTACACCAGAGTGCTGTGCAAGAAAAGGAAGGCAGAGGGAAAGTAGATCTGGGAAGAAACTTTCCCCAGATGACAGTAAGTCACCAGACAGTGGCAGGATAACCAGGAAGTGTTCAGTTATACATAATAGGCAAGATTAAACCACATTTCCAAAATCTCTCATTATCCCCCTTCCTGACCCTTCATCAGTCAATAAAATAGGGCTCATGAGGACATTCGGGTCAGTTATACAGTGAAGGGGACCAAAATATGTCACCCAAATATACTTCTTTGGCATATTTCAAGATGGCTATTCCGAAAGGCTGCAGACAGAAATAGTCTTGCAAAGCTGCCTTTTGTGCTGCGAGATTTGCATCTGTAGAGAAAATCTACATTGGTGAAATAAACACCCAGGCTCTCTCTGAGTCCCCCTTAACCAGCTCTAGGAAAGATTAACTCACAGTAAAAGGAGACTAAAAGTCTGGGACTTTTAAAGGTCTAGCAGAGAAACTTTTACCACTGGCTACTAACTGTTCTTTCTAATGGCTGGGCTGCTACCCGTGAGGTTTCATCTGCATAACAAGATAGCCTTTGCTTGCAATGCATTCCTCTCTCACTCTTACATAACCTGTGATGCTACCTCCTCCCAGAAGCCCTAAGCCCCTACTCTTCTGTAACTTCAGGCTGGTATAAAAATGTCAGCCATCTGACCCCTCCTTTTTTTTTTTTTTTTTTTTTTTTTGTGAAACGGAGTCCCACTCTGTTGCCCAGGCTGGAATGCAGTGGTGTGATCTCGGCTCACCGCAACCTCCACCTCCCGGGTTCAAGCGATTCTCGTGCCTCAGCCTTCCCAGTAGCTAGGATTACAGGTGTGCACCACCATGCTCAACTAATATTTGTATTTTTTCTAGAGATGGGGTTTCACCCTGTTGGCCAGGCTGGTCTTGAACTCCTGACCCCAAGTGATCTGCCCACCTTAGCCTCCCAAAGTGCTGGGATTACAGGCATGAGCCACCGCACCTGGCCCTGATCCCTGCTTCGAGTCTCACACTTTGTGTATGGCTCCTGTGTCCACATGAATGTTCACACATTTGAATACCTTTTTCTTCCTGTGACTATGTCTTTTCTTCCAAAGGTGTCCCAGCTAAGAACTTGCGAGGGTTAAGAAAATAAATTATGTATTTTTTCTCCCCTTCAACAGAAATAAAAAGATGTACCCTCTGCTAGTGTCGTGGTGTTGTTGTGGTCAATTTTAAACAAGCTGCACTAGGGATCTGAAAGGGCCCCTCCTCCATTTCATAGCTCAGAAAGCTTGACTGTTGCCTTCACTCTGCTGGTGAGAAAATTAGCTCAGCAAATATGTCTCTTCCCACTCAGGCAAAGCAAAAAGAAATGACCCCTGTCAAGGAATTTAAAAAGCTGTTACCTAAAAGGGGCACAATGAGGACATTACCTATCTCCATTGTCTTAGTGTTAGGCTACATAATTAAAATGACTCCACCATATCATGTTCGTAAAAGACATAATGACAGGAGGGGACAGAGCAAGGTAATGTCGCTCCCAAGAGTCAGCATATTAATGGGGCCTTTCAGTTTGATAATGTAATTAACCTTCTTAAATCCTACTCTCAGTAAAATTCCAAGGAGCAGAAGCTACAAGAATAATGTCCTTTTCAAGTAACCTTACTAGCATCAGGGCATTCACTTGAGAAATGGTGGTGATGGTCAATTCCTGATAAAAGACTTTAAAACACTGTTTCTAAAAAGGTCTGAGCTGCCAAATATCAGATTCACATGACCAAGCCTATGTTTTCATCTTCTTCTCTTGATGAAAATAATTTCTCCTTTCTTTCACAACCTTTCATTTTCTACATTTTATTGAATTTGAAGTCTTGAAATGCAAAGACTAGAGAGTCCCATGGTCGATTCTATAAAATCCAAATCATCTCCTTCATTGGATGCTTTATGTCTACAACCAGCCTTCAATACATAAAACATGAGACTGTCCAACAACCAGGTGGCATTGGTTAGATAGTATCTCTATGTATTTACAATATTATTCTTTTATGCAATGTTACTTAAAGGCCAAATTTTAAACATTAATAGTTCAGACAGCACTTCACCAGTTTTAAATCCACTGGACTGAGGCACTCAATGTTACTTGTCTACAGGTATCTACAGAACTAAACTTTTGCAAGCTCTCTCCAGTCATTTCGACTGTGGCCCAATGATGTCACAGGACTGTTGAGACAACAGAAATCACTGGATCAGTCATGTAACTAACCAGTCATTCCCTAAACATGGAAACTGCTCAACTCATTTATTATCATCCTTTGAATATGTATTATGTTCCAGGAAGCACCATGATCCTTACCAAGAGGGAAGTAAAATATTTCCATAAATATCTACAGTTAAAAGTTTCCATATAAGTGGTAGAAACAACTATGAAAATCTTGAGGACGAATACATCATTCCTGGATCTGGTGATCGGAAAAGGCATTTCAGCTGGCCATGAAGAATAGGTTGGTTTCCGTCAGACTGAGAGACGAGACTCTTACATAGAGAAAAGGATTCTCCATCACTTACATCAAAGGAAAAATTTTTCATGGGATTGACAAGTCATCCAGTTCAGCCTAGATACAGGGAAATAGCGTGAGGTAACACTAAAAAAGTTGCCAGGTTTCAGAAAACCCCTTCAGTCTCCAGTGTGTTTATGGGCATTGAATCACAAATTGAAAAATTCTCCCATTTCATATTCACAATTAAGGTACTTCTAAATCTAAAGTTGCACAGTTTCAAAAAGCTTTAGTTTTCATCTCCAGGCTGTCAAAGAAAGTCCAAGATCTTCTAAGATAATCCTTTGGAAGCTGAGAAATAGCTATAACTTCCAATGACAGATTTTTATTGTACCCGAAATTTCAAGTTTCATTATGTTCATCTGTCGTGTACTTTCTGGGCTAATTGTTCTGCTGTAGCTTAGAACAAAAAATATAATGCAGAAACTATTCAATAAAACCTCTCATTTTCACAGTTAGGGTTCTTACCATTTTTTCTTGGTTGCTAATGTTTTCAATTTGGCCATTTGTTTAAATTTGCAATTTGTTAGTAATTTGCGTAACTTAAACATCTAATATATAAACCTTTAACCTATTGACCATTATAGCTTCATTTCATAGAAGCATTTATAAACAAAGTACATACTAGAAGCTGAATTTGCTCCCCCAAAAGTTTACAGTCTTGTGCATTTTAGAGTAAATGATTGGTCTTGTACTGATTGATGGTAACAAATAAATGTCAACCTCAATTTTGTATTCCAATTTTAACAAAATTTTGGTACATTGCTTTTACCATTACTATCAAGTGAATTTATGTAAGTTAATCTAAGAAATGGCAATGATATTTTAGGATAATTTCATTTAGATATTTTATTCTTTTAAAAACTAAGTATATTCTCTTTCCAGTGATCAATATAAGATAATATCTATTATAAGAATCAAGTCAGATCAAAGTAAGGCATTGACTTTTTTCTGATCTCCCACATTTTAGTTGCCTAAATTGAATATTTACCAAGTTCTGTGGCTTGCACTGCAGAACTGCACTACATTAAGATAACTCCCATTAAACAAATTCACTTTAGTGTGTAATTTAATCAAGCTATTTGTTCAGTTTGCAACCAGGTCTTAATTTATTGTTTAATTCAGAGGTTACTAGAAAAATGCTCACCTAAAAATAATTAACCTAGAATCTGGCAAACTTACCTTATAAGAATATTGGCAGAAATCCTGTGTGGGGTGTGAGGTACGATGGGATAACATGGATGTGAAAAATTATGAAGATTTGGAGCCTGCCTCACACCAAACCAGGTTTAAATTCCTTAGAAAAAATTTTACATAAAAACTCATGTCTGGGTGCGGTGGCTCACGCCTGTAATCCTAGCACTTTGGGAGGCCAAGGTGGTCTGATTATGAGGTCAAGAGAACAAGACCATCCTGGCCAACATCGTGAGACCCTGTCTCTACTAAAAATACAAAAATTAGCTGGGTGTGGCGGCATGCACCTGTAGTCTCAGCTATTTGGGAGGCTGAGGCAGAAGAATCACTTGAACCCAGGAGGCGGAGGTTGCAGTGAGCCAAGATTGTGCCACTGCACTCTAACCTGGTGAAAGAGTGAGACTCAATCTCAAAAAAACACAAAAAACAAAAATCAACAACAACAAAAACCAACCAAACAAACAAAAAAAAAACCCCATAACAACGTGAGAACAAAAGAAAACAAGTACCAGAAAAGTGACCGTGTAATCTATATCAATTTAGGGAGAGACCTGGGACTAGAGTACTAATGTCTCTACTGTAATACTTCTGTCATGTAGCATTTATCAGAGTCTAAATTTGAAGTGGGTTTTTTTGGAGACAGCATATTGTGGTCTAATTTTTTAGTGCAATCTGCCAATCTCTACCTTTATGTGGCATGCTTATACTATTCACATTTAAATTGATTATTGCTATATTCAGATAAAAATCTATCATCTGTCCACTTGTTTTCTACTCATTGCATTTGTTGTGCATTTTCCTCTTCTTTTACTGCCTTCCATTGATTTACCTGAGCATTTTATATGATTCTATTTTATCTCCTCTTTTGGTGTATAATTTATGCTGATTTTTATAACTTTTTAAGGAGTTGCCATAGATCAACAATAGATATTTTTAAATGATCTAAATCTATCCTCAAATAACTCTGTACTCGTTTATTACAAGTGCAGGTACCTAATAACAAAGACTTCCTAATTCCTCCCTTCCCTTGCAGCATTGCTGTCATTCAGTTCACCCGATACATTGCTACTACTATTGCTTTAAATGAAGTTATATTTTAGATTAATTAAGTGGATTGCTTGAGGTTAGGAGTCTGAGACCAGCCTGGTCAACACGGTGAAACCCCGTCTCTACTAAAATACAAAAATTAGCTGGGCGTGGTGGCGCACGCCTGTAATTCCAGCTACCAGGGAGGCTGAGGCAGGAGAATTGCTTGAACTCAGGAGGTGGAGTTGCAGTGAGACAAGATCACACCACTGCACTCTAGCCTGGGTGACAGAGCAACACTCTGTCTCAAAAAAAAAAAAAAAAAAAGTGAGAAAAAGAAAATATTTAACTTTACCTTCAATTATGCCTTTTTTTTATGTTGCTTCTTTGTGTATATACGAGTTTAGTCTTTATTTCTCTGTCACCTTTGAAACATGTTAGCCAGACATAGAATTATAGGTTGGCAGATTTTTCTTTGAATACTTCAAAGATTTTTCTCCATTCTCTTCTTGATTGCATAGTTTCTGGTGAAAAGTCTTCTGTAATTCTTATGGATGTTCTTCTATAGTTTAAGTGATTTCTATCCCCCTCTGGTTTTCTGCAAGATTTTATCCTTTTCTTGATATGTTATACTGTAGCTTGAATAGGATAAGCCTAAGGTTTTTGGTTTTGTTTTGCTGTTAATCCTATTTACCCTTTTGGTATTTTATGTTGTCTATTTTTTTCATCAGAGGCTTTAACATGGTAATCATAGTTATTTTAAGTTTCCTGTCTGTTAATTCCAACATCTGTTTCATATGTTAGTCGGGTTCTGATGACTGCTTTGTCTCTCTATTTCTTTCTTTATTTTTTTGAGGTGGAGTCTCACTCTGTTGCCCAGGCTGGGGTGCAGTGGCATGATCTCAGCTCACTGCAACTTCCATCTCTCAGGTTCAAGTGATTCTCCTACCTTAGCCTCTGGAGTAGCTGGGATTACAGGCATGCACCACCATGCCCAGCTAATTTTTTTTTTTTTTTTTTTTTTTGTATTTTTAGTAGACACGGTGTTTTATCACGTGGCCAGGCTGGTCTCAAACTCCTGACTCAAGTGATCTGCCCGCCTCGGCCTACCAAAGTGCTGGCATTACAGGCATGAGCCACCATACCCTGCCTCGCCTTGTCTCTTTAGACTGTGTTTTTTCCTCATGTTTTCGCATGCCTTGTAATTTTTTGTTGAAAGCCAGGTATATCATATCAGGTAAAAGGGACTCAGGTAAATATACCTTTAGTATGAGATTACCTTTATTTATCTGGCTAGCAGTTGGGTCATGTCTAATGTTTGTTGCAGCTATAGATACCAGAGGCTTTAAATTCCTCTAGTGTTTGTTTTGTTTTTGTTTTTGTTTCTATTTTTTTGTCTTTTTTCTTGATTTGGGGGATATTCTTGGTACAAGTCTTCAAGAATGTGTCTTGCAGGTCTTTCAGCTGTAATACATTGTTACTATACTGGAGGCTTATTGGTGTGACGGTAAGGTGGAGCGGAGGTGGGGGGCATTCTATAAACTTCTGCATAAGTCTCATTTAGTGAGACTTTTTCTTGGGGCTGTGGCCTTCACAGGTGTTTCTGTCCCTCCCTCCTCAAGGGGTAGAGGTTTTTCCTCTACTTTCCCTACTTCCATTCATCGCTTCAGTGTTCTCAATCCATTTCCTGGATGTCATATACCCTGATAATTAGGATTTTTCCTTTTTCTTTAGGTGAGATATGCTCAAGTGGGGCAGAATTCCACTTCACAAGCTGGGATAAGGTTTCAAAATTGCCCTCAGGAAAATTTATTCCCCTGGGGACTAGGCCTTTGTTAGGCACAAAGTATAGGACACATTCTCTTTCCTTTCCCCTGCGAAGGCCATGAGGGGATTTTTCTCAGAGCCTAACCATGAAAATCTGGTGCTGTTTTTAAAGGGAAAGCCTACAATATGTGAGGCTATCCCATGACCAGGGCCCCCAGGAGTGACTCACTCTAATGCTGGTCTGCCCTCAGTTTCCAGAAATTCATCACATTTACTATTTAAATGTTCCTGCTAACTTACGGTGTCTAGCATCTTCATTTAAATGTTCTTACTAACTTATGGTGTCTAGCATCTTCTGCTCCAAGTAAACAATTCTTTCTGTACTGTATCTCTCTGAAGGAGTCTGTTGCTGCAGACTTTTTTCTTTTTTTAGAAGAATTATAACTTTATTTTATTTATTTATTTTTTTAAATTATACTTTAAGTTCTAGGGTACATGTGCGCAACATGCAGGTTTGTTGCATAGGTATACATGTGCCATGTTGGTTTGCTGCATCCATCAACCTGTCACCTACATTAGGTATTTCTCCTAATGCTATCCCTCCCCCAGCTCCCCACCCCGCAACAGGCCCCAGTGTGTGATGGTCCCCTCCCTGTGTCCATGTGTTCTCATTGTTCAACTCCCACTTATGAGTGAAAACATGCGGTGTTTGGTTTTCTGTCCTTGTGATAGTTTGCTGAGAATGATGGTTTCCAGCTTCATCCATGTCCCTGAAAAGGACATGAACTCATCCTTGTTTTATGGCTGCATACTATTCTATGGTATATATGTGCCACATTTTCTTTATCCAGTCTATTATTGATGGACATTTGGGTCGGTTCCAAGTCTTTGCTATTGTGAATAGTGCCACAATAAACATGCATGTGCATGTGTCTATAGTGTTGCTACAGATTTGAAAATGATATGTTGACCTATGACTTCAGTTCTCTGATGGGTAGAAGAAAAGTCATTGAATTTTGGTTTGTCCAGATTTTTCTTGCTGTAACAAAGATTTCCAAGTGATGACTTAAAAAGAGTGATGACTTCAAAAGAGTGATGACTTCTAAGTTCTTTGCATATTGGAAATAAAAGTGGAAGTCTCAGCTCTTCTAATCTGTGAGAATGTTAGCAAGTTACTAAATCTCTATGTGCATTAGTTTTTATCATCTGAAAAAATGGGTATAAGATGCCTTACCTAATGAAGTTGCTACAGGGGATAACTTCTAAAAAACATCTACTGCAAAGTCTGGTATGAAGTAGGGGCTCAGTCAGTGCTATTTGTCTAATAAAACACGCATGTATTCATTTCCTAGGGCTGTCATAAAAATTATTGCAAACTTGGTGGATTAATAAACAGGAGTTTATTCTCTCAGAATTCTGGAGTCTAGTAGTCCAAAATCAAGATGTTGACAGGGTCATACTCCCTTCAAAAGCTCTTGGGAATACCCTCCTTGCCTTTTCCAGCTTCTAGTGGCTGCAGACATTCCCTATGGCTACATAACTCCCATCTCTGCCTCAGTCTTCACATGGCTTTCTCTGTCTTCTCCTTCTAAGATTTATGGCCCACCCAGATAATCTAGGAAGATCTCATCTTGAGATCCTTAACTTAATTCCATCTGCAAAGATAGAATTTTCCAAATAGGTCACATTCACAGGTTCTCAAAATTAGGACATGAACATATTTTTTTCTTTTTTGAGGGAAAGACCATTCAATCTTCTATAATGTATTAGTTAAGTCAGCTGTTGACTGAACCAAACTATCAGTTTGGCCAAACAATTAATCTTAAAGTTCCATATAAACTTCTATATTGCCCTAGAAGAATAGAGAGTAGTGTTTTAATTTCTTTGTCCAATAGAATAGATTCCACAATACAACCATCAGTGCCAGACAGTCAAGAAAACATGATCTACTGTATCAACTTACTGTTTTTCCTTCAAGGGGATCACAATATTTTATCCACAAAAGCAATTTGGGATCATTCCTTTGAATAGAGAGGAAGCAAATAATATGGTTCTTATGTTGTAAATGGGAAATTAAGACAGAAGGGTAATCCAGTTAATGTTTATGGTTTAATTAAAAATGCTGACAGAAAGACTCACGACATTGGTAGAACTTCTTATTAGTGTTGTCAACATAGCTGTACTGCCTCATCTTCTTATTTTCTTTCTCAAATTTCAATCTCCAGAACCAAAGAAGCTCTATTTTGCATGCATCAGTAACAATGAGCAATTTACACTTAGCGATCCTCCTCTGTCACACAACAGCAGCTGTCTGTGAGTCCTCATTCTACTGTGAGAAGCAGGTTTGCTGTTTTATTCCTCTCTTATTCAGTGCATATGCAAGGGGTGGGGTGGAGGGCTGGGTACAGAGGACAGCAAGGAGACAATAATTTATCATTTCCAAACAAACAACAAAGGTTGTTTCAAAAATCCAGCTTACTGTTTTTATTTTCAGTCTGTAATTCATTTTCAAAATGTTTGGACATAACCCTTTGGCTTTGCTTCTGAGCATTTACATGACATTTAGACAGTGAACACATCTCCGATTGGTGCACAGCTATGGGCATATGGCACAGCTTACTGGAAACACGGATTCACAAGAATACGTATCCAGTTTCAGAATAAGAACCAAGTATTTGCTGACTGAGTGTCATGTGGACTGTTTTAAACTCCCTATCCATAACTTTCAAACCTACTCTGGGGGGCGGTCAAGGGGAGGAGGTGGAAGGGTAGACTGTTGGCTGGAATCTAATGCCTTTCCTTTACTATTAAAAATCTATGTGAAAACATTCCTAATGGGTATGGTAATATACCACTTTCGTACCTTATAAAAACCTATTTACTTAGTTTACTCAGTTTACAAGCTGAGATTTGAAGCACTAACCACTCGGGGTCCTATCTTGATAGCCCTGGCTTACTTACCAATATAGGAGAATGTGTTCTGTTCAACCTGAGAAAAATGGTGGGAGAGGACCAGCAGTTGAACACCTGGCCCATCTAAAGTGAGGATGGTAAGAATGATAAAGGAAGGTGACCAGTTGCCTCCTGGGTTCTCTGATCACTGCATGTTTAGCTGTGCGGTTAAGACAGCAGATTTAAACGCAATACAGGGTCCTACGATGACAATATTATCTGCCATTGATTGAAAACTGATTATATACAAGGGGGTTACTATTCAAAACCTCATTATTCCTTATAATAGCCCTATTAGGTAGGCCTTTTCAATCTCACATCATGTATTAAAACCACCTTTGCAAAAATTATAACTGATAAAATTATTACAGTGAAAGAGGTCTGACCTAACCAACTTGGTCTTGCTTTTAACCTCCAAGCTGTCCTTGTTCATTCCTGGGTGTAGAGTGAACTAACTTTGGGAGCAACGCAGTTTAGAGTTTAACTTTGAAACATAAAATAACAGTCCTTTCCCGCAACCAACCCTCTTCTTGCCTTTGTTAGACTGCCTTTGCAGTACTAACAAATTAGCCAGAAGACTAGAAATTATAGTTTAGGAGTCACTGTTGTAAAACCTGAGATTAGTGTTTGAGATACTTTGCAGAGTCTACATTCTAATGCACCAGCTGATGCCACCCAGATCTATAAACTGCCTCATCTGGTCTTATGGCCCCCATCCAGGAACTGACTCAGCGCAAGAAGACAGCTTTGACTCCCTATGATCTCATCTTTGACCTGTCCAATCAGCACTCCCGACTTTCTGACACCCTACCCACCAAATTATCCTTAAAAACCCTGATCCCTGAGTTTTCAGGAAAATTGATTAGAATATTAACTCCATCTCCAACATGGCGTGGCCAGCATCGTGACACTTAAGCTCTTCCTTTACTGTAATGCCATGGTCTTAGTGAGCTGATTTTGTTTGTGCAGTGGGCAGGAAGAACCCATTGGGTAGTTGCAATATGATCAAAGTGAGGCTTAAAAGGTTAGGTAACTTGCTGGTGGCCTCACTAAACCTCACTAACTCCATGCTCCCTACCATGGAGATACCACTACTAATAATTAATAATAACTAATAACAACTATTGTTGTTAAAATGATACTGGGTAAAATCATGTAAAATAACAACTATGAGATATAGTTGTTATAATGATTAAATAGGTAAAATTGTGTAGAATAACAACTACAGATATAGTTGTTATAGTTAAATGAATAAAATCATGTAAAATTTACAATCGTGTAAAATAACAACTATGAGATATAGTTGTCATAATGATTAAATGGGTAAAATCGTGTAAAATGCTGACCAAAACAGCCTTAACATTTTCCTCAGTTTGACTAAACTTTAGTTCAGCTTCTTCTGGACTCAGGCCCCTGAACTCCCTTGTTTTAGAGCGCTTACTTTAGAAAACTCGTAGATGTACATTTTCTCTCTGCTCCTTTAGGTGTAAATCTTTTTAAAAGCCTCTTGCCAGTTTTGTAACCCAGCACTGTCCTTCTCAAGGACCTGAGAACCATTCCTTTGAAAAGTCATCATCAATGAAGACAGTGCTTCCCAGTCTCCCAGGGAGGGCACAGGCTTAAATTGTCCTAGTTGTAAAACTACCTCCTGTCACAAAGATATGAGAAAATTAACTTTGTTTTGGGATCACGCCAATTGGCAAACATGGATGCCCTGTGATACGCCCCACTCCAGTTCTTGAAACTCTAAAAACTCTACCATCCTTTATTCCTTGAGCTCTGTCTTAATTCTGATTTATCTTCCCTAATGCAATAGCCTTAAATAACATCTTCCTTGCCTGTTTACATTGTCGAGTGCCATTTTTGTTTTTACAATGCTTTTCATATTGATTGATTGATTGATTGATTGATCAAGATGTAGTTTCACTCTTGTTGCCCAGGCTGCAGTGCAATGGCGCGATCTTGGCTCACTGCAACCTCAGCCTCCTGGGTTCAAGAGATTCTCCTGCCTCCACCTCCCGAGTAGTTGGGATTACAGGCATGCGCCACCATGCCCGGCTAATTTTGTATTTTTAGTAGAGAGGGGTTTCTCCATGTTGGTCAGGTTGGTCTCGAACTCCTGACTCAGGTGTGGTCGACCTCCTGCCTGCCTTGGCCTCCCAAAATTGTTGGGATTACAGGCATGAGCCAACACATCCGGCTGACAATGCTTTTTAATAACTGTTTCAAAGATGAGAAAACAGAAGAACAAAGAAATAAGCTAATTTATCCAGGACTGTAACCCAGGCCACCTAGCTTTGGCGGTCATGTCTGAATCATCATACTTCAAAGGGAAATAATATATTCACACAGTGATAAGGAGGCATGTGAAGCCTAGCACCTTCACTTAACAGGTGCTCAAAAGCTGGAAGCTGTGATAATGGAGAGGAAGGAGGAAAACAGGACTCAGGACAAGCAGATCTATTTTGGATCCAGGCAATACCTCTTAGTAATCCTGTATCCTTGGGAGATCACAGTAATAGTACCTGAGATTTGTGCTTATGCTATTTCCCTGCAGCTGAATGGAAGTACAAGTGTTCTCATTGCCTAGGTGGGTTTTGCACCCACTCTTGATTATCCAGCAGGAAGCACAAACATCTTTGAAGGATGATGAGCTAGTATACCAGTGACATTCTGGAATAATATCTCATTATATTATTATTAAGGGCAAGAAAGAAATGTGAATTGACTCTTTTAAAGACAATCAAATCAAATATAAATGTCATTAAATAGACTTAAGGACGCCGAATGGAAGAATAAATTATGGAGCAGAAAGTCAAGGTTAGTCACAGAAACTAACAAACATAGGGAGAACAAAGGAAATTGTGGAGAGAGATGTATATTGATGCTCAAAAAGACACTGCAGATCATTGATTTGAAATGCTTATGTATTAATATTAACTGGGGATAATTCAGGCCTGTTTTGTATTGTACCCAGATTAGAAAAGCAGATGTGATTCTCCCACCCCTTTATCAAGAACGAGAGTAAGTCAAAGAGATTGCTGATTGCAAATTAAAATGTTAATTTCTATCCATTTTAATTTTTGATAAATTCTTATTGAGAGCTACTAATTTTAGAAACTTTCAAGTACCGTAATAGCTTTCAGTCTATTGAGTCCCTGGGAATTTGCCTTTGGGGCCAATTGCTTTCTGCCTCCATTATGAAGAAATATTAAATGCTATCAGGAAGCGCAAAAGCCACCCTTGGTAGAGAGACAAATTTCAATTTATGAAAGGCAAAGTATTTTAGGTTATGTAATATGCTCTCCAGTGCAAACAAGGAGTTGAGGATACTAGCTTTCAAGGAAAGTACAAAATACACAATGGTGTTGAACAGGACAGGTCAGTGGTTAGCAGAAGTAGTGGCAGCAACATCAGTAGAGGGGTAGTGTGGTAATTAGATAGTGCTATCTAAGCTTTACTGAATGCTTATTAAGTTCTTATCACAGATCCATGGGCTTTATATGTATTAGGCATTTTAATCCTTACAAAAATTATTTTAGATATTATCATTATCTCTGGTCTACAGCCAGGGAATATAAAACAAAGAGAAGTTCAGTCATTTGTCCAAGGTCACAGAGCTGAGAAGCTGAGATCTGAAGCCACATTGTGACCACCACCTCCAGATTCAAGCTCTAACTACTTGGCATGCCTACTGCCTAGGGGCTGTGCAGGGAGCTTTTCATATTCCACATTGCTGAGAACTGATGAAACTAAATATGGGGGAGGGAAGATTGTCTTTTTGCTTTATCTATGCCTCAAGAACCACAGAGATGAAACATGTACAAAAATGGGAAATTCTAGAAGCTTTTTTTTTTTAATGAAGGATATTACAGTTCATAAGAACAAAGCTATCACAGGAATCATTTTCAATGGATTCAGTTACCTGATGAAGGTACTGAAGGGAAATGCAGAATCCAAATTATCTAACAGATAATTCACAAAATATGATTGACAGTGGACTCACTTTCTGGAAGTTAGAGCAGGCTGGTGCTAAACTGAATCATAATGGAATGATATATTCCCTCAGGTGAAATACAGTCTAAATCTTCATGCTGTTCGTGCAGCACATAGCATTAATAGAACATAGTAATGTGGACATACTTTCTAAAGCAGCAATACAAATGTATATTGGCAAATTGTCTCTTTAATATATTGTTTAACTTCTCCATAGCACTCAACACAATGTGTATAATTAACTGAGCAATTATTTATTTAGTGCCTGCTTCCAGCACTGGAATACAAGCTCTGCATGGTCAGCAACTACACATTTTTCTTATTATATTTTGCCTTCCCAGTGTCTAGTGGTGTGCCTCACACACAGAGGGAACTCGGTAACATTTGTTGACTGAATAAATGTAAGGTATTTTCTACATAATGCAGACTTGTTAATTTATTCTGCTATTAATAATTTATTGCCGGGTGCGGTGACTCCTGCCTGTATTTCCAGAACTTTGGGAAGCCGAGGCGGGTGGATCACCTGAGGTCAGGGGTTAGAGACCAGCCTGGTCCAACATGGTGAAACCCTGTCTCTACTAAAAATACAAAAATTAGCCAGACATGGTTGCACATGCCTGTAATTCCAGCTACTCGGGAGGCTGAGGCACAAGAATCGCTTGAACCTGGGAGGCGGACGTTGCAGTGAGCCGAGATCGCGCCACTGCACTCCAGTCTGTGTGACAGAGTGAGACTCTGTCTCAAAAAAAAAAAAATTATTGAGTGCTGTTTATCTGCCAGGCACTACACTGGGCACTGGACAGCTAACAGTGAGCCAGGCAGGAAGGGCCATGCTCTGGGGGTACTTACATTACAGTAAGAGAGAGACACAACCTTGAGCAATGCATAAATAAAATCATTCTAGATATTGTTAAGTACTGTGTGAAAATCAAAGAGTCTGGTGAGTGAGAGGGACTACTTGGTGAGCGGGGTTTGGGGCATCCAATGTTAAACTAAGTGGGCTTAGAGGATCTCTCTGAGTGATCATAAGACATCCATGATGTCTTCAAAGGAATCAAAGGAAAGGGTTTTGTACGCGTAAGAAATGGTAAGAGGAGAGGTACTGAGGCTAGAATGAGCTTGGCATGTTTTAAGAAAAAACAAGGTTCCAGCCTCAGCAACATAAAAAGACCCCATCTCTACCAGAAATTAAAAAAAAAAAAAAAAATTAGCCAGGCGGGGTGGTACGTGCCTGTAGTTCCAGATGCTCAGGAGGCTGAGGCAGGAAGATCACTTGAGCCCAGAAGTTCCAGTCTGCAGTTAGCTATGATTATGTCATTGTACTCCAGCCTGGGTGGCAGAATGAGACCCTGTCTCAAACAAATACAAAAGAAAAGAAGAAAAAAAAAAAGAAGGTTCATGTGGAGTGTGGTGGCAGGGAGTGGGGAGGGAAACTGGAGGAGAAACTTGGGAAGTGAGCAGAGATTCTGTAATAAGATCCTGTAATAAGATCCTATAATAAGAAAGATTCATAATAAGAAATTCGTTTTAATTCTAACTGCAGTAGGAAGTTGGTGAGTGATCTTAAGTAGGGGAATAATGTGATGTGATTTGCATTTTTAAAAGATGACTTTGGCTGCTGTGTGGAGAATGGCTTGAGGAAGAAGAATGAAAGCCAGGAGACCCACTGCTGCCCAGGGTGCGTGGTATATGTACTCCAGGGGAAAGATGCTGGTGGCTTAGCCTAGCGTGATGAAAAGGGAGATGAGAATGAGCCTGGTTTTGAGATTCTTCTAGTGACAGAACCAATAGGACTTGATGATGGGTGAAGCGAGGGAAAGAGAGACAGATGGAGGAGAGCCTAGGTTTGTATTTTTACAACTGCATGAGAGGAGGAGCCGGCAGTTGAGAAGGAGAAGTATGGAGGAAAAACAGGTGGAGAGAATGGGAATCAAGAATTGGGTTTTGTGGAACTTAAATTTGAAACACATATTAGATAACCAAGTAGAAATGTCTAGTGTGTAGGAGAATATAGAAATACTGAAGTAACTAGCATCTAGATGGCATTTGAAGCTACAGGATTATACTACCTGTGACAGGAAATATGTGATTTATTAATTTAGTGCAAGTGTAGGCTAGCTGGCTCGTTTTGAATTAAGATGAGAGGAAATAGCTTTACCTTGTGGAACCACTGGAGAGAAACGTGTATCAGCTCTATGAGCATGATTACTGGGCATCAGCCATGTTGAGTGCTGGACTTCAGAAAATGAAGATCGGGACAGCAGAGGACCAAGAAGCCAGTGATGTTCACTAAGCAGGCACCAGCCTTCCCTCCCTTTCAACGTTTGGATGTTGTAGTTACATAAATTCCTGGCCACATAGACTCAACCATAGAGTTCTCAAGAGGATGCCGATGGATAGAGTTTTGAATTGGATTGGGAATCCAAATCAAAAGTACAAGAAATCTGCTTGTGAATTGAATTTACCTGACAGTGTCAACATTAAGTTGTCTGCTAGGAAAGAGTTTGGAACTCATATTCAGTTTGTAGAAATACATACAATTATAGCTTGTGCCTATCCAAAGCTTTACTGTTGCAATGGTATTATGCAGTGAGGGAGGACACAGAGGTAGAGACAAGACGCACAGTACACAGCCCCAGGCCACTGGGTTCACTTCATCATTAGTTTTTGTTGGAGAAAGAGACTGAGATGCCGGTGAAACAGGGAGGAGGAGAGCCAGGAGAGCACGGGATGAAAGAAGCCCATCAAAGAACGTGTTTCAGCTGAAAGATGCTGCTGAAGAGGCAGGCAAGATGCAGGCAGAGCAATGGAGATCAGCGAGGGCCCAGGGAGGCGCAGGGACTGGAGCTGAGGGCACAGACACCCTTAGGATAAGTTGAAAAGCAAAGGACAAGTCGAGACACAAAATAATCAGCAACAATATTCTTATGCTTGAGAGGATCACCATCTGGGTAGTGAGGCAGGATGAGCTACATCATAATGACATAAATCATAAAACCGATGCGACGATGACTACCAAGGCCACCTGTTGACACAGAAGACCCAAAGGGAATGCGAACTGGGGCAGCCAGAAAGGGCTTCAAAAGATACTGTGTTCCTATTTCGAAGAAACTAAGAATAAGATGAATGGTGAGAGGAAGAAAGGATGTTCCAGCCAAGAGATTGGACCAACGTGGGCAGGCGGGAGAAATCAATACGATTGAAGAGGCGAAAATCAAAGGGACAAAGAGATTTCTGGAGGCTGGCTCGGTAGGGTTGTAGGTTGAGGCTGTTGATGTAAAAAAGAAAAACAAAACAAAAACAGAAACTAGAGGAAGTCACTCTATAAAGCAGAACAAATCCAAGAATTTCCTGACACAAAATTACCATGGGGGGAGGGGGAGGGAAGTAGCCATCTAGCAAAATACATTACACCCACTTTCTTTTAGCTTCAGGCACAGCCACCAATACTTATTTTCAGCACCCTTTTATAAAAATTTAAAACCCCATGTAATTATATTCATTCATTTTAAACATAACCCCTCGAAATCTAGCTTTGTATTTAAAAAGAAAATCTGACGTGGGGTTTGGAATCATGGTTATAGATGAATTTGGTGACAAGTCAAACATTTTGGAAATGAGTTTCCACACATCTGCTAAAGAACCTTTTGTTGCCCTTTGAGCAGAATATTCTGGGTGTAGTGACATGTGCAAAATAAGAAATTTAATATTTTTAAGCCTTCAAGATGAATGTTACAACATCTGAACAAGAATAAATGCCATGCTTATTCAATTACCTTGCATCCCAGGGTCTTATTTACCATCAGCTTTCTCAGCATGCCGATCTATTTACTGCTAAATTGAATAATTCCGCCTAAAGGAGATAACATACTCTTACTGACAGCTTGTCCCTAAACTCCCAGATTTCACAACATCAGTACACAAATATACAATATAGAAATGGTTGCTTATGTGCATTAGATCTGATGTAAACAACAGCTGCCAAAAAGACTGAATTAGCCTGATCTTATTTCATTTCTCTTCTTATTTCATTTCTTTTCAGTGATATTTGCCTTTTTAAAAATAATCAGTTGTGGCAATACGTGAAGCGGAGAGGCACAGATAACAGGCACCTCCATTACACCAATGACGGTTCTGCAGTTTTTCCTAAAGTCTTTCTAGAATGACGCACAACACATTATAGCTTCCGTGTTTGCTCAAGATTATTTGATTAAACTATTACACTGAGAGTAAAGATTACTCTTTTTAGGTTGTCACTTTCTCACTGATGCTTGGCAATTTACTTAAGGGAATAAGCTAGGTGTAGGTTTGCACCCCTTGCTCTATCAAGACAATGGCAAATATTGATTGGTAGTAAGTAAGGCTTAGACGTGGTTTCCTTTTTCTTTTACATCAGCCGTGGGCTGTTGAGATACAATAGGTGCAGCCAAAACTGACTGATAAATATGGATTTCTACCCTCCCACAGGGCTTGGAATAATGATTGAGTTGCTTTGTTTTTTCCAGAACTTATAGCATATATATATATACATACACACATACATACACACACACACTATATACACATATATTTATAAAATATATAAATATATATGTGCAATATATATACACATATACAAACATATATGCATGGTATGTATATAGATGTACACACACACACACACACACACACACACACATCCTTCTTTGATGGCTCCACTTCCCATCCAATTGCTCAATCCCAAATCTGGAATTGCCTTGACCTATCTCTCTTTTCCTCTGTTACTCAAAGAAATCTTAAAACTTGGCTCATTCTCATCTCTCCTGTCGACCATTCTAGTCTCAGCCACTATCATCTCTCCCCTGGACTATACCACTGCAATCTGGGAACCAGTGGGTTTCCTGGCTTCCATTCTTCCTCCTCAAGCTTTTCTCTGTATAGCAGCTGAAGTAATCATTTAAAAATACTCCTCTTAAAAAAATCCTCCCCACATGGTATTACACATGGAAACTGACAGTCCAAGGCTGTGATCAGGCGATGGTAGGCTCAACTGGGCCAGTCCAAGTGACATCCCTTTGAAAGGAGCATAGGGAGTGCCCTGCCCCAAAACACCCCCCAACACAAAACATTCAGCAACTTCTTTTAAAAATTATTTGTATAAATTTAGGGAGTACAAGTGCAGTTTTGTTACATGGATATATTGCATAGTGGTGAAGCCCCGGCTTTTAGTAGAACCATCACTCAAATTAGGTACATTGTACTCATTAAGTAATTTCTCATCCTTCACTCCCCTTCCTGCTTCCTCCCACCCTTCCGAGTCTTCAATGTCTATGAATTCTATAGTCTTGTCTTCACACTGTTTTGCTCCTACTTACAAGTGAGAACATGTGGCATTTGACTTCCTATTTCTGAGTTATTTCACTTAAGACAATGGCCTCCAGTTCCATCTGTGCTGCTGTAAAAGACATTATTTTATTATATATTTTTATGGACCAGTAGTATTCTGTTGTATATATTATAGTATACCATATTTTCTTTCTCCAGTCATTCCTTGATAGATGCTTAGGTTGATTACATATCTTTGCTGTTGTGAATTGTGCTGTGATAAACATACAAGTGCAGGTATCGTTTTTATATAGTGATTTCTTTTCCTTTGGGTAGATGCTCAGTATTGGGATTGCTGGATCAAATGGTAGTTTTATTTTTTAGTACTTTGAAAAATCTCCATACTGTTTTCCATAGAAGTACTAATTTGCATTTCCACCCACATTGTATAAACGTTCCTTTTTCTCCACATCCTCGCCAACATCTCTTATTTTTTTGACTTTTTATAATAGCCATTCAGACTGGTGTAAGATGATATCTTATTGTGGTTTTCATTTGCATTTATCTGATAATTGGTGATGTCTAGCATTTTTTCACATGCTTGTTGGCCATTTTTATGTCTTCTTTTGAAAAATGTCTGTTTGTGCCCTCTGCCCACTTTTTAATGGGGTTATTTGTTTTCTTTGTCATCGTTGATTATTTAAGTTCCTCGTAGATTCTAGATATTAGTGCTTTGTCACATAGTTTGCAAATACTTTCTTCTATTCTTCAGGCTGTCTGTTCACTCTGTTGATTATCTCTTTTTCTATGCAGAAGTTTCTTAGTTTAAATGAATCTCATTTGTCCAAAATAGTTTTTGTTACTTGTGCTTTTGAGGTCTCAGTCATGAATTCTTTGCCTACGGCAATATCCAGAAGAGTTTTCCCCAGGTTTACTTCTAGTATTTCTATAGTTTCAGGTCTTACATTTAAGTCTTTAATCTATCTTGAAGTGACTTTTGTATATGGTGAAAGATAGAGATCCAGTTTCATCCTCTTGCATTTGGCAACCAAATTTTCTAGCACCATTTATTGAATAGGGTGTCCTTTCTCCAGTGCATAAGTTTGTCAACTTAGTCTAAGATCAGTTGACTGCATGTATGTAGCTTTATTTCTGGGTTCTCTACTCTGTTCCATTGACCTATGTGTCTATTTTTATACCAGTACCGTGCTGTTTTGATTATTGTATCCTTGCAGTATAATTTGAAATCAGGTAACAGTGATGCCTCCAGCTTTGTTCTTTTTGCTTAGGATTAAATTTGGCTATTTGGGTTCTTTTTTGGTTCCATATGAATTTTAGAATTGTTTTTTCTAATTCTGTGGAAAATAATGTTGGGATTTTGATAGGAATTGCATTGAATCTGTAGATTGCTTTGTTAAGTATGGTCATTTAAACAATATTGATTCTTCCGATCTAT